>NC_000003.12:80919090-81222121 GCF_000001405.40 Homo sapiens | reverse complement strand
ATTTGAATAGAATCCTTATATAGCTGAGTGACTGGCAATCACCGGAGGCCAGTCAGGCAATGGCTGGGCTGGTTGACTTTGCTTCATAGGCGTCGTCTTGGTGCAGGTGATAAACAGGGAGGTGGGGGAAATGAAAGACTGTGAACATAAATGTGACCTATCTTGTAATTTTATTTTAGCTTTCTCTGTCTTTACAAAACCCCTTTCTGCGCTGTTAACACCCTGTTTTGCTTATTCTCTGTATTGACTTCTCAAAAGATCAAGTTTTTACAAATGTTAAGCGGTGGTAGCTTGTTTCAACTTTAAAGTCATGGATATTTTTGGTTCACAGGAAGGAAAAAGTGGCATACACAAATATGAGACCTAAAACATCTAGCTTAAATGGCATATTCATGAATTGAGACTCACAGTGTTAGTATGTGTACTTTAAAATCTAAGTTTAAGATATAACTATTTCATATATTAGAAGTAGTCAGGTATCACTCTCATTTTTAAGACATAAAAGTGTCTGTCTTAAAACATAGTATTAAATGAGTTACAACGGGGAGCCAAGTATTCTTTAAATTACTTTAAATTGGGGCTTTTTTTACTTTTGATTTCATTCATACACTGCATGCTATCTAATTTTATTAAGTAATTATTAAATAATTTGTATTTATTCCAGGTATCTTCTGGATATGACATTTATCCCCAGGGAAGACAAGAGCTAAGTTTTTTTCACTTTAAAATATCAAACATTTCACTTTATCTTTAGACTAAAGAATGCTGCCTGCCCTCAAGTTCTCTTATTCAGTAGGACAAACATTCTTCTCAATTCTCTTCCAAGATTTTGACTGTCTTTTTATGCTTCCTTATTTTGGAGTTTCTCTCACTCCACCAATTAAACTTCCTCTTATTCCTTCTGGTCAGCACTATGATCAGTCAACTCATTGATGAAAAAAATGGAGTGAATTAATGCATTTAAACATAGTTACAACATATTTTTGTGTGCGGTCTAATTCAGTTATAGGCTAAGATAGAGGGGCTAAAAATGTAGCACCTCAGACAAGCTAAAACTGTACTTTCTTCTCATCCATCTGGTAAGTACCAAGATTTCTTCTATTACATTACTGTGCTTCCTCTAGAGTGTTATAGTTCATCAAGACTGAGGCTGGGTCACCACTGTGCTAGCATTTTAACTTCCTAGAGAAGAAAATAAAAATAAAAAGGGAAAGGAATTCCCTTTTATGAAAATGATATGTGCAATCTCATATTCCTATGGAGAGAACTCAGTCACATGGCCACCCCTAGCCGCCAGGCAAGTTGGGAATTCTAGTCTTCTAGCTAGCTGGCTTGTGTCCCCCCTACAACCTGAAGGTGGCTTCTAACTCTAAAATGGAGAGGAGACTAGAAAGGGTCACAGCCTTAAATCTCAGCTTGGCCATGTCTGCACTACACCTTGATGCCTTCTTTCCTTCCAATCTTTTATGTCCCTTCTCCTCTGGTTGAGGCTATTTATGCATCTGGTTGAGGCTATTTATGCATTCATTGCACCTCTTTCAGAGGACATAGAGGTCGTGTGGCACTAGAGTGTAGTTGGATATTAAATGATTTTACTTTAAGCACTAAATTGAAGGTTATTTAATTTACAAAAATGTGCTTTACTCTAAATGTTTAAAGAATATATCTATGGCCTTAGGGAAGTATGCAGTGTGTGCTTAATTAACTTCCTAATTCACCAAATGGTTACCCTATACCTACTACATGAATAGAACTGAGTAGTTTAGACATACAAAGAATTGGAACACGAAGAAACTTTCCTCAAGTAATTTAATAACAACCTGTTGGTACCTAATAAAACCTTAGTAAACAGGGCAATGATACAAAAGCTGACACAGGACAGAAGAAATGTGGAGACCTTTTTTTGGTTGTTGTTATTGTGGCCAATGAATGCATATATTTAGTGAGAACCCCTTTCATCCTACATGTTTTTAAAAGATCCCTTTCTTGAATTAGAGTTTATATTCCATGTGGTTTATGAAATATCTCATTATAAATATATAATTATATTAGGAAATAAATATTAATATAAAGCTACCTTCTATTCCGAGCTGTTCATCTAAGTCATAAAACCCTGGTCGTTTGACTCCATTGACCATGAAAATGATGTAATTATAACATTTGTAATGTCATATATTCATTTCTTCTCTTCTTTAATGAGACAGAAAGAGTGGCTCTCAAAGTTTAATGCTCCTAATCATTTCAAGTTTGTTGAAAATATGTATTTAGAGGCTGTATGGAGAGATCTTTATTCTCTAGGTCTCATGTAAAGGCTTGAAACTGTCATTTTTCACAAGTACCTGTATTGATTATGTGGCTACTCTTCCTCTGACTTTAAAAACATTTGGATTAAAGAACACATTGAGAAGTTTATATGAATAGATACCATTATTGATAAGCTTTCTTTGTATAGTATAATTGTTTGGACATAAATCTCTTCCTTGTGAAATTGTTTCTGCCACTGTGATTGCCTCTTTCAAGAGAAGACAATTATTCTCATTTGCCATATTAAGGAAAAAATCAATGTATTTAAAATGTTTACCTCTGGATGAAAATAGAATCCCACACAAGAGGTATGACTGTAATGATTTCTTTACATATTTACCTATTTTTAATCAGAAAAATTTCAATAATGTGACATGTTTATTACTTAACAACATAGGTAGCATTAATTATATTCTTTCCTGATTATGCATTTACCTCATTGCTTTTGGATTACAGCTTATGCCTGAGGTTAAGAAAAACAGAAAGCAAGAAAGCAAGAAGTTAAAAAGAAAGAAACAAGGGAAAGAAGTAGAGAATATAGAGATAACGCAAGAAAAAATGACCTTGAAAAACAATAGTATTTAATCTGGAAAACTCATGTGAAAGTAGACTCCATAGTTGAGCTAGTTATGTAGAAATGATATATAAAACACCACTGATACTTTTAGCTTCCCCACCTACTCCATGGCACTCTCACTGTGATCTCTGGAAGACACCAATGTCCATTTTTTAAATTGATTATTGACTCAATTTGGAAAGATCTGATTTCATTGAAGGTACAATTGAAGTACTATTTCATGTTTTCTTAAGAAGTATAATTTTCCAAATTTAGAAGACTGTCTTCAGAAACACAGTCATTGTTCTTGCCTTTCAAAACCTGTCTCTGCATTTTGCCTAAGCACAATTGTTCTAATTTTAAACTTTAATTTCTTAGAGTAGACAATCATCTTACAACCATGAACACCAGGCTGATTTCTTGCCAACTCTTCCCATCTTTAACACTACCATCATTGATGTTTATTGATTTGAGGCTTCTGCCTCACAGTACTTAATTAATTTCAAACACAGCAGGATATTTGGGGATTTTATATTCAGGATCCCATTGATTTCTTGTCTTGCCAGTTTTAATCAGATTTGGGAAAGGGAAGATTATGTCAGGCTGTCTACTCATCTACTGCTTAAAAATGATATAAGCTCAATCATTAGAAAACACTTCATTTGAGTAATGTATCTAAGCCTTGAAGTGATCAATTATATACACTAGGCATTACCATAATACTATTTAGTTTAAACATCAGAACGAATGTGTGCTTTAATTAACAGATGTAGCATGTATCTCACATGACCATTTAAAAACAGAATATTTGTTTAAGTAGATAATGAAATCTTTATTTCATATTTCAATGTAATTCATATAGAACTATTTTTCTGTCAAACTCCCACATCAAAATGTCTACTACTAGACTGCAATCCGTGGAGCCTTGCAGGTTTGTGTGCTCAGTTTTAATGATAAACCAAATAGTCAAATACATCATTTCAAACTGTTCTCAAAAGGCAGCCTTTTGAAAGAATAGACCTGCAATTGCTGTTTTGTGGTACAACAGTGACAACCAGTGGCTGCTGCCTTTCACTTTAGGCTCACCCTTTATTGCAGACTTTATGAAGATGAACCTGTATCTGGCTTTAATAACCAACAGTCAGAAACATCTTGCTTCTTGTTCATCTTCATCTCATTTTTCTACTAAAATAGGTTGATATCTACAACCTATTTGGGAAATCTTTGTTTTGTTGACTAAATACACAAAATGTAGATTAAAATGGTTTTACCATGAAGTCACTGCACATGCTAACATAAAGGAGGTGATAAGGATTCTTGATGGTTTCACCCTCTGTGATACATGAATCAAATAACCTATTATTGCTTCTCTTACCTTAGAGGAAAGAAAACAAATCTGCTAGGTATATGTAAAAATCTATAAGTAAATAAATAAAAGAAGTGAAGGCACTCCATGGGCAGACAGTTGGGGATTGTATAATTATTTACGATGTGAACATCCCAGGTTGGTCTTGTCTTCCTTCCTAAAAGGTCCATTATTTTATTCAAATGGAAGCCTTAGTGGAGTGAAGATTTGCTAGATATAATAAGATGAATAATGTAAAGTTCAACTCTGGATTATAGACTTGTGGAGACTCCAAACATTTAAAGGTAATGGTTTGATTCTTGCATCTATTTCAAATTTCTTCAGAACAGGTCTATTTATAATTTATTGGAAGTCTTTCTGAGACACAGCAATCTGGAAATACCTTTTTTTATTCTATGTCTCTAACATCTATGACACTCCTACTCTGTCTCAAACTGTCTTTTTACTTTCTTTTTTTTTTCTCCTGAGTGCTGCTCCAGACCTTCATTTCCTCCTCCCTGGCACTGCTCTAAGAGTGCTTATGGCAAATTTGCTTCTGTAATCATAACTTGAACCCATCTGGGGATGAGATTGGCTACAAGCTTAGTATTTCCACTTAACATATTCATGATTAGCATGCACAGAAGGAGTAGAATTAGGATGAATGTTTTTGGAACAGTACAGATAAATCCTCATAAATGTAGTACAACAGCTCTGGAAACGCACAGTGCGGAAATGTAATGAAGCTGAACTCTGTAGAGAGTTTGGTATTCTCAGTACCATGCCTCTCCTAATGAACTCATTTAGATTAGAAAATGGATGTAACATTTTATTGGAATTAACCTGAGCCAGTAAAGAGGATTACACTTTCTTTCCATAAATATAGTGATATTACAGGGTGAGGTAGCATGTTACATGAATATTAAGCACTTTATGAACACTGTCATGAAGCCAAAAGGAGTAAGGTGATTATATTTTAACATAGTGGTACTGTTCTTATAATAATTAAATTTCAATAGTTGGAAAGGGATCTTTTTAAATGATTTAAATAAAAGTTTTTTGTGAATTTTCAGATTTAAAATGCCACGTGATTACAATTAAACTCAAGATAGAACATTTAAGTAACCAGCCTCAGCAGAAGTTATATTTTACCAAGTGGAAAATGAAAAACAAATAAACTTGGTGCAAAAAAGAAAACTAAGACTCTGAGTTTGACTAAAGAGAAGGATGATCTCCTCACTAATATGAAGAAAACTGTGTATTTACTTACCTCTGACTATTCCAGTGGATAAGACCGTCAAAGAATAGAATTTTGCTGCATTATTGGCTGGGTTCTTTTTCCTTTTTGTCATCTTTTTTTCAGTCCAAACTCACTCGTGTCCCTTTTGTATGATGAGTGGATGCTTTTCTCATTTTTCATATGAAATTCGTATAAGATTAAAATATGACCTATGAAGGAAGAAATTCATGAGTCATCATGTCATTTGATGATTCAAAGGACTGATGAATTATAGGCAAGAGAACTAACCTCACACTTTTGTAATCTTAAAAACAATAAACTGTAACATGAATCTGATCCATCCTTAAACAAAGGGCAAGCTCTGGCCCTGGAGTGCCATTTCTACCCATTTTGTAAAGTCAGCTACTGTGCATATGTGCACCCGAGCATTCACTGATGTTACAGGATAAGGCACAGTGAGTGCTGCGTGCTGGAAACTGAGGTTAGGTCTTGAGGCTGTGCAGAGATCTTCTGATTAAAGCTGAACATGCACTGTAAAGTTCAAGCATGTCCTCAGAGTTGGTTTAAGGAAAGCCTCTCACTTCTCCTCCATCCCACCTATGCTGGGAAAACTTTTTTTCCCCCCTTTATATGGGTGAAGGCATGTAAGGGGCTCCTTCCTCTCTGTGTGGTTTTTAGATTTCTCTCCATTCCATATATGCAAAGAGTTCCATGATGGATGTTCTTTTAAGTTTCTGTCACACGGGGGCTTTGAGTTAACGCTGTTAAACTGGAGCTAAAGGAAATCAGCTGCTTGCTGAGTATGGAAGCGGGATCGGGGTGGGGGGCATAAAAAAAAAAAACAGGCCCTAAATAGGAGATGCCAGCATCAGTGCTGAGCAGCTGGTGAAACTGTGGCAAGAAGGCTGTTCTCCCTAGCACAGGAAGATCTTCTAGAAGGAACTGCTGGAGTACTGATGAAGAAAAGCAAGCTGGGGAGCCCTCATGGAAACAAGACGAAAAGAAAACAGGAGAGAAATAGGGAAACAGGGCCAGTGAGGAGAAATTGCTAGAAGCTTGGAACCTGCTGGCATCACAAAGATCCATGATGAGGCCTTTAGTTCCACTTCATTTTCGTTTCTGTGCTTTTTCTTACTAATTGTGATCTTCCGGTTGCCTTTTTCATTTTCATGCCTATTATTTTGTTATCAAAAAGGTTAGGATACAGAGTACAAGATTTTTACCACATCTAGCCAAAATATGCATTTCTCATGCTCAGGACCTGAACAGGTTTAGGGCAAATGGGGGTGGGATGGGAAATTATTAGCAATGTTACTGAAATAATCAAAGTGAGGCACCCAGAAAATCTTTAACTTTTTATGTTTTCTACAAAGATCTGGCACTGAGATGTGTGAGGTTTTTAAGTCAGGCAAATTAGACTGAAAAAGGATTTTGTAAATTTCTTTATCAATTTCTTTAATATATCAATGGTTAGTCTGGCTGACTTAGTTGAGAAAGCTCATTTGAGGTTTAGAGACTATATTTTTTGTTTCTACATCTTTTTATTTTGGAGGAAGAAAAGAAGGTATGGGAAGAAGAAAAGGTGTGGTGGCAATTTTCATAACACTGAGGATGGTCAATGAGAAGCAGAGAAAGAAAAGGAAGAGAGTGTCCTTATTTTCTAGAAGCTAGAATAGTGTCTCTGTTTTCTCCTCTTTGGGCTAAAGTCCTAATTGGAGAGATGCTGCATTAAATAAGTATGTGGCCTCTATTCCTTGCCACTTTTTAGATTCTACGATGAGATGATTTGCAGACTCTCTTCTTTCAGACTATGAATCAGCTCCCACAAAGTAAACTTAGCAGTTCACACTAAGCAGACCATACAGCAGATGATTGTGGGGTAAGCAGCTATGAGGTAACCAAAGTATTGATGGAGAACTAGAGGAAAGAGAGGCAGCAATGCATAAAGACCCAGCCCCCCTTTTTTATACCATGTTGTTTTACATCACTTTTAGGGGTGGGTTCTCTCTCTTGCCCTTCTGCCTTTCACCATGAGATGATACAGCTAGAAGTCCCTCACCAGATGCCAGATCCTCAATCTTAAACTTCCCGGCTTCTAGAACTGATAGAAAGAAACCTTGTTATTTATAAATTACCTGGTATCAGGTATTCTGTTATGGAAGCATAAAACAGGCTAAGACAAAAGATCTATTGACACCATGATTTTGGACTTCTGGCCTATAGAACTGTAAGAGAATAAATTTCTGTTGTTTTAAGGCACCAAGTTTGTGGCAATTTATTAAGGCAGCAACAGAAAACTAATACATACCCAGAGACCATTCTGGAAATGTTGGCTAGTGGGGAGTTGAGACGAAGTTGGAAGACAGAAATATGAACAACTGGGCATTTTTAAAAAATTCAATGTCTAAGCATTAAGTGAAGGAATTAGTAAATGATCATCTCAGAAGTGTTCACAGAGTTTAGACATTTAACATTTCCCTTGCTAATCAAACAAAGAACAGATCAAGAAAGAAGAGCACTAGGCTTAATACCTGGGTGATGAAGTAATCTGCATAGCAAACCCCATGACACAAGTTTAGCTACAGAATAAACCCCTGAACTTAAAGTAAAAGTTAAATCAAAAAAAAAAAAAAAAGAAAAAAAGAAAGAAGGAACAGCTCAGCCTCATAGTAAATTAAAAAAAAATCATTTCCTTTGCCTATTCCTTTTGTAGTTGGGTGAACCTTTTGAATAAATATATGAATTGAACGGTGAAACATATTTTGAGAAGGCAAGTGCAGAGGAGAAATTTACATAAAGTAAAAGCTCTGTGTCTGTTCCATTTCTCAGGCTTTATAATTCACATTGTTTAAAAGTAAGAAAGAACAATGATAAAATAACTTTGATGACTAATTCTCTAATTTATACAGTAGTCCTTTGAACTTGGTTAAAGTATCGGATTCAGAATAAGGATATGTGGATATGTAGGTATGTGAATAATACTTAACAGTTTATAATGTGCATTCTTACTATCTCAATTATTATTCACGGTAATATTTTGATATAAATATTATTTCCTAATTTTACAGCTAAGAAAATAGAGGCTCAGAAAAGTTAAATGATATTCCCAAAGTCAGTTTAGAGGTAGAGTCAGGGGCCGGGCGCGGTGGCTCACGTCTGTAATCCCAGCACTTTGGTAGGCCGAGGCAGGCAGATCATGAGGTCAAGAAATCGAGACCATTCTGGCCAACATGGTGAAACCCTGTCTCTACTAAAAATACAAAAATTAGCTGGGCGTGGTGGTGGGCGCCTGTAGTCTCAGCTACTTGGGAGGCTAAGGCAGGAGAATCGCTTGAACCCAGGAGGCAGAGGTTGCAGTGAGCCGAGATCGCATCACTGCACTCCAGCCTGGCGACAGAGTGAGACTCCGTCTGAAAAAAAGAAAAAAGAGGTGGAGTCAGAACAAAAATCCAGAACCCATTTTCCTAGCTTGCTGCTTGTTAGAATGGTTTTGTTTATGTGAAAATCTTACTTAGTTACTCTCAAGATAGTTTCATTTGCTTGGAGACAGGGTTCTTGTTAAAATTAGTGGCTTCAGAGTGGTGGATTGTTTTAGTGCAATTTTTGTGAGGTAAACAGAAGTCCTTTTTATAGGAGCGTTATTATTTGTACCTAAAAATGCATTGCATGGAAACCATGAGAGCCAGGGGTGTACTTTTGTATCCAAGCCATGTTGAGAATAAATGCAGACCAAATTATTAGATTCTGGTTTAGCCTGCAATTGAATCATCAGGCTGAATGTACCTTTTCTTTTCTTTTTTTTTTTTTTCCCAAATTGTTTCTAGTTAATTTGTGGAAACAGTCTTCTCTGTAAAGACTTCTGCCATCTAAAGGAGTTTACAAGTGACAGCTCTCGACTGATTATCATGTAGGGGTGATTGACTCTTGGAATGGAGGTGGAGGCAATGAGAAAATGCTGGCCTGGAGGCAATGAGAAAATGAGCTTTTGAAGATCTGTTTCATGCTCCCTCCATGGAGCTCAGTGACACCTTTCTGTAGCACCTCACTGACACCTTGATACATCAACCTCCAACTTGATATCTCAAGGTATACCTTAGATGGGGACTAGTTTGAAATCAGCCCTTTTATTTTAGTTTTTGAAATATTTTTATCATTTAAAGCATTTTTAAGGAGGGGATGAGATTAAGCAGTTTCAAAAATACACAGAACAATACAGAGAATATCCGTGTTTCCACCATCTGTCACCCAGTCTCCACAATTATCAACTCCTGATTAATCTTGTTCTACGTAAAGCGATTGCAACATTCAAAGCCAATTCTTCAGTTTCCTATTTGTGTGCCTCCATACCTTCATTTCCAAGACAGAAATGTTTGGCAATTTACTAGTCCCTGGGCAGCTCTCAAACAGTCATTGTCAGAGGTAGGGTATAGAAGCATAGCTCCTTTGCATTGAATCAGGAAGTCTCAAAGATTTGTGTGTACTCTTGACTTCCACTGCAGGATTTTGCTAAAGCTACCTTCTGCATGACTTCGCATAAAATCTTACTTCTTCTTACCTACTCTTGTTCTGCTCTCTGTAGCAGTGTGTATACTCATGTAAAAAAATGTGCCCATGAATTCTTGACTCAAGGTCTCCTTCTGGGGAACCTGAGCTAACACACTCACCTACGAAGACCCTACAATGTTAGAGTTAAATAACCCTGAAATAACATTTAATCTGTATTTCAATATGTATCTTTATTAAAAATTCCTGAAAAAATTAAAAAGCATTACCATGATCACACCTATGATAAAATTTCTTAATATACAAAATAGCAATTAGGATCCTAATTTACAATTTCTCATGAATATATTTTTTAATAGTTTAATTCACTAGGTATCCAAATAAAGTTTTCACAGTGCATTTGTTTTGAAATGTGCTGCTGGCCTCTCCTTCAATAGAGATTTTCCTTTCATCTTTCTTTGTTTTTCTTTGATGTTTGTGTGTTGGAAAATATTATAATCTTTCCTTTAGAGTTCCCCACAGTCCAAACTTAGACTACTGAATCTTCATAGTATCTTTGAGCATATTTGTCTGGTCAATGTATAGCCTATTCATTGGTAGTTGAATTTAGAAGCTCGATCAGATTCATGTATGATATTTTTCCTGAATCTCCTTCATTGGTGGTGATATGTTCTTTAATTAGTAGGCACATAATTTTATCTTTCTTTATGTTATTTGACAGCTATTAGTAATCTATCTACTTTGATTATTTAAATTCTTTATTCATTTATTACATGTCATATTTCCAGAAATGCAAAATTCCCATCATCCTCTGTTTGGTTACTACTGGGTAAAATGCACTCAGAAGAGATGAATAAATGATTGGATTTTCTCTTTTACTTAACAATTTTTAAACTAACTGTGTGTTATCTAGTATAGTTCAACCAAATAAGATTTTTTTGTGTGTTTTAATATAATTGCAAAATCATTATTTCAAATATATTTGATATTTTCCCTACATTGCAGCAATTATCCTTCTTGTCCATTCACTGGCCAATGGAAGCCTCTTCAAATTTACTTACACTCCCTTTGGCATGACTAAGGTAGTATTTGATGTCTATATTACTAAGAGGTACAAGCTTCTAGTCTCATCTTGTATGTATCGGCTCCATATCTGGAATGGCCATTTTTCCAAGGAGCCCTAGTTCCTTTTAGCTTATAGGCAACTATAGGTCATTAATTTTAACTCTTTTCAGTGAGTGGAGGTAGGGTTACTTTTTAAAAAAGCTTAAATATATTATGAGCTCAACTGATTCTTCCAATTACAGTTTAAAACCACTGAATTTTTATTTGATCAACTCTAATTTAAATCTCCTTTCTGCCACCTGGAAAATACAAGTTCACAGTAATACCAGCAATGATAGAATGAAGATATCACATAATTGCTTATATGAAAGTCTTAGAAGACAATGCCAATTTTCACCAACAATTTGATTAGTGAAATCAATTTAAGAATTTTTTAAAAACAATTTTTGCAGTATTTTCCCCCTCTGGCATATCTCACATCAGGGATAAACTGCTAATTGATGTATTACAGGCTCTTGAAATAACCACTTTCTGGGTGGTTATGTCAAAAACAGGTTACACAATTTGGTTTATTTGTTTTATTTTCTTTTTTATTTGGGAAGTTTGCTTTTTTAAATATATGAAAACAGGTGTATTCAAAGACGTCTGGCTCCTATCCCTGTGCCATTGATCCTATGCCTTCACTCTGCCTGTAGGTTAAGTATTCAAAAAAAACACACTTTAGTTTTTCATTCCATCGTTTGTCAAATGTAGGCATATATATTCACATTCCTTCCTTTCTTAAATGGTGACAAAATACATTTATTATTTATCTTGCTTTTTCCCCCCAATAATGAAAAATCTGAGAGTTTCCCTTCATAGTAACATATAGAAGCCTCCTCATTTATTCTTACAGCAGCAGAGGGCTCTCTTTTTTATGAAGCATGCCGTTATTTCTTAAGGAAGTCCCATATTGATGCATATTTGGGTTGTTTCCACTCTTTTACTTATATAAAACCCGTCCTTTGATGTACAGCTTTGTGCCTATACCTTTTTATAGTTTTTCTAGTGGATCTTTGGGATACATTCCTAGATATGAGATTTTCAGGGACAAAAGCCAAATGCATCTGCAACTTTACTAGATATTGTTAAATGTTTCAGTTGTACCACTTTTAAGCATGCTCACCAGCAATATATTTTTCTATTTCCCTTTGGTCTAGAATAAAGTATACTTTGATATACTTTCAAACATTTTGCTAATCTACTGGGTAAGAAATAATGTCACAGTGAAATTTTAATTTGTAATGTATGTATTTATCAATTTCTAGGCTTTGTTTCCTTTTATAAATGACAGTCATGCTGTTTGTGTTATTTCCATTCAAAGATTATTTGAATTCAATGTATTAAGACAAGTTGTTTCTATTGTATTCTAAAAAATTTTATAGAAAATTAACTCTATGTGCCATTCCTAGCATTTCCACCAAATTTTATAATAGTATATGCTGTAGGTATATAGCTTATATGAATTCGAAAATTTAAATCCACTTTTCTTTCTATAATATCATTGTGTTATCTCACTTTTTAGAAAACCTAATATGTAGACTTTTGGGGAAAGCTAGCTTTTAGTGTAGGAATAAATACAATGAGTGAGACAAACTGAAATTTACTATTTTTTTTAATTTTTAGGTTAGTATAGTGATTAAAAGTGACAAAAATAAAACATGTCTGCACAAGATAACTTCAATATTTCTGTGGGTTAAAAAAAGACTCTTTAATGAATATGTCTTTTGGATATCCTTGTTGATAGGATGCCCTCTCTGTAAGCAGGATGACCTCAGAATGAATATGCTAACATTTTATGGAGTTTGATGTTAGAAATTGATGGGAGTGAGAAAGTAAGGATACAGAGTAATTGATAGGTGGCATTAGAGCTTGCCTCTACAGCTGGTAAAATAGCTTCCCTCTTGAGAGTAAGAGAGAGGTGGGGAGCAGAGAGACAGAATTAGAGAGGGTAATTGTGTGTACGTTTGTAGTTTCTAATATTTTGGTGAGATGGGGGCTCAGTTGTTTACATGACCCAATCCATAAACATTTTGCTAGAGCAATAAATGAAGAAGATACTGTTTGTTTTATTTTCTACTTAATATTATTGTTACTTCACACTAGAATTAGAATGACACTGTAGCATAGAATCTTGGCCAAGATAGAAATCTTCAAAGTCATCTATGTTTCCTGATAAAGGGGACAATTATTTGCCATGGCACTAAGATGTGTCATCTTTGTGAATATGATCTAGAAGAAAAAGCACAATTATTTAAATATGGCCCATTTTGGTTTCTGATAGATTTGTTTGACACCTTTTCTTATTTTGAGGTGTAGTATGCTTCCATGTACCTTTCCAGTATAAATTCAGGTCCTACCATCTGGAGTGACTCAAAGTAAGGTTGGACTTCTTTTGGAAGACAAAAACAAACAAACAAAAAGCAAAAACAACAACAACAAAAACAATTATTCAAATATTTGAAGATAAATATTGCTGCGAAAGGCCATCATGGGTATGTGGTCTTTTAATTCTTGCATGGTTGGCTAAGAATGTGCTTTGGGTCTGGAACCAGTTCTTAAAAAGAGATAGAAAGCTTTCATAGCCTGTGCTGGGTGTATCTCTTTGTTTGGGAATATTTTTCCTGTTCCAGACGTGATGTGTATTCTTCTGTTCTGCTTAAGCATGTTCATCATATGGCATCCCCTGCTATGTCTCTTCCTGGTTGGGAGGAAATGGGGTCCTTCACCTGCTGCCCAAGACGGGTGCGTGCAAGTCATCTCCTGTGTCGACTGTGGGACGAGACCCGCTGATCATAAGAAACTGAACTGATACTCACTGTTGAAACTGGGCTTTCTCTGTTTCTTCTATATGATAGTAAAGCATTGTTCCATCCAGTACTCGTGTGAGTCTTTCTTGGAGATCCCAACACCTGCGAACCATGCAGTAGGTTAACATTCCATGACTGCTGCTCCCAGTGGTAGGCACTGTTATCCTCTTTACTATCCTCCCCTCATTGGACTCCTCCACAGGAGATGGTAACAATTGTCACTTGCTTGACAAATACTGAATAAACGCTAATTGTTTCCCCCTCGTTCTATCTCTGTAGGCCAAGTATTGCTCTGGAAAAACTCTGCCTTTATGAAAAAACCCAAGCTTTTAAAGTATGACATCTCAAACTGGATATAATACTTAAGACGTATAATGGCAAATCAGTCTACTTTAAGTTTGGATATGTTAATTAATCATTTGCTATTTTTCGCACTACATCATATTGTTAATTACTTTTATAATTTTAGTCAACAAAAGCATTTAAAGCTTTTAAAAAATATAAACTACTTTTTGTCAAGATGCATACACTTAGAAAATTGATTTTTATTCTGTGTACAAGCAAGATATTTATTTTGATTAAGTTGACTTGTGTTAGTGAGGGCCCTAATTATTTACCCTGTCATTTTTATTTTTGAACCTTGATACTGTCATCAATTCCTTTGAAATTTTTTTTTTCAGATGTGGGTCATCTGAAAATTTAATCAGTATTATTTCTCTTTCTTTTTGTTGTGAGACGGAGTCTCGCTCTGTCGCCCAGGCTGGAGTGCAGTGGCGCGATCTCGGCTCACTGCAAGCTCCGCCTTCCGGGTTCACGCCATTCTCCTGCCTCAGCCTCCCGAGTAGCTGGGACTACAGGCACCCGCCACCAAGCCCGGCTAATTTTTTTTGTATTTTTAATAGAGACGGGGTTTCACAGTGTTCGCCAGGATGGTTTCGATCTCCTGACCTCGTGATCTGCCCGCCTTAGCCTCCCAAAGTGCTGAAATTACAGGCGTAAGCAACCGTGCCTGGCCTATTATTTCTCTTTCTATAGCTAAGGCTTTAATAAAAATGTTGACTAGTCTCAAGGTCAATGACAGAGTGTTAAACTATGCCATTATAAGCATCTTTCTAGTTACATATCGATCCATGGCTCAATGCTTTTGTGTATTTATTCAACAAATATCCATTGAGTTTTTACTATGTATCAGGAACTAATTTAGACATTTAAAATGTCTGTCTTCATAGAGTCAGCAGACAGGGCTGCTTATGGCTTGTATGATGCCTTTGTGCAAATTACATAAAAGCATACCATTAAGTAAATTTGAGCTTTTCTTAAAAAAATAAAGTGTGCTTCTTTTGGGGGTGAAACTGGCAAGTACCAGGGTGAATAGTTTGCTAAGAGGATCTGGCTGGACTTCAGCTTCCAAGGAGCTCTGTGGCTGTCAACTTTATTCGATGAACAACCTGTACAACTTTCTATGGTAAACGCTGCACAGTGTGATATATCTACCTCTTTAATGACCTGGATAATTTTTACGCACTTTGTTGGGCTTGCTTATCTTGCTTTTGGAAAATGGCTACGTTATTTAAAGAAGAATGATTCATCTACTTTATAAGGGGGCATACAGAAAACTCAACTAAGGCATTTTCTTCCAAATGATTTAAATATGTTTCCAAGAGAATAATGACTGTTGTATTGAACATTATGGAACTGACAGTTGTCTGTCTACCAAAGATTTGTGCTCCTCTTTCCAGAGCATCGAACTGTAGCTCTGGAGTGGCTGCCTGACAGGGCTTTTGTTTCCTAGAACCTTCACCCTTCTTTACCATGGACCACATGCTAGTTCTTACCATTGGATCGCATCAGAATTGATAGATTCCACTTTTATGCCATGGAGCTTAAGATGTGGTTATATCTTCCCCACTCTCTCTTTCCTTAACACAACCAGAAAAGAAAATATCTATTACCGTCTCATAGCAGCTCTCAAAATTTTTGGTCTCAAGATCCCACTATATCCTTAAAGAATATTGAAGATCTCAAGAGCTTTTTTATTTCTGGATTATAGTCCATCAGTACTTATGGTATTCAAAATGACAATTGAGAAATTCTTAAAAAAGTATTTTAACACATTTATTATAAAACAAATACCCATTATGTAAACATAATCCATGTTTATGACATATAACTATATTTCAAAAAAATAGAAAACTGGCATTGTTTTACATTTTGAAAATCTGATTACTGTCTTTCTTATTCTTCATTCAAGTGACTAAGTTATCACATATCATACAGTTATGGAGAATGTGACAGTTAGCTCATCGGGGTGAGAATAAAAAAGACAGATAACATTTCAGTATTATTACAAAAATTAACTCACGAAATCACTAAAAAAGTCTTGAATATTTTCTGTGGTGCTGGATTACTGCTGCCCTGTGGGAAGATGGAGCTACTTATTAGAAAGAGTTGTGGGGGGTTAAGGGGTGGAGTCTGTGAATCGCCCTGTGGGAATTTGGTTTTGAAAGAACACCAATAGTGGACTGTCACATGGGAAAGAAGTGAACTTCTATTATGTAACCCGCTAATGTTTGGGAGTTTATATGTTAGATGACCTAGAATTGCCCTATCTCGAACAGAAATCTACAGAAAAAAAATTAATTTTTATATAGAAGATTTAACTTTTCAATGATACTTCTTAAGAATTAACCTTATTTTAAATTTCTAGTGAGCATGCCCAGTAAGATGCATCAGTTAAAAACTGACAAAATCCATAAAAGGCTCAAGAAATAATGGGACTTATATGGTTAGGAAAAGGATTTTCACAGAAAAACTAAAGCTGTTGAATGTATTTTAGAAATGAGAAGGCCACAGGGCTATTACTTTCTAAGTGTATGAAAGCTTAATCTAGAAATTACTTTAAAATGCTGTGTATATATATGTGTATGTGTGTTTATGCATGATGGATGGTGTTGGTAGAAAGACAGAGAAGATATTTAAATTACTATGCACTGAATTTTGATTAATTAGTAGAAATTATGACATGATCGTTATTGTTTTGAGATAAGAAACTAAGCTATTAAGAGCTTTGAAAAATATTATTCTTCAGAAAGATGAGTAAAGCTGTGCTAATGCAGCCTTCTAGAGACCAGTTAATACTTATAGAACGAACACTGAAAATACATGTACATACATATGTAATAATGATGATAACTGTTTAAAAATAACAATGCTAGTTAGCTGGCAATTTTTCTTATAACTCTGCCCAAGGTGGGGTTTAAAGAAGAGGGAATTGGAACCCTAATTTATTTACCTCTGGATTTTATCAGCCATGATGAACTTATGATTTGAAGTCTCTTCTAGATAATGATTTCTTGAACTCATTTGGCGTAAGAACTAGATAAATGCCTGCAAAATTTTGTGTAAGCCTGACCAGCGTCTATTGTCAAAAAAAGAAGTTTTGTTTCTAATAGCCAGACTTACCAGTATGAAAGAGTTCCTTTCCTCTCACTTCCTAGTTAAAAAAAAAAAAGTAACTGTATTTATTGAGTAATGTATCAAGGTGCTACGGTTAAAAAAAAAAAAAAAAAGAAGAAGAAGAATGTCAAAGATTACAAGTCTTGGATTAAAAAAATAAAAAGGAGAACTTTGAATGCAGGATTTGACGATTTGACAATTCTTGGAGGGCTATATCATTTCATTTTCATTATTCATTATGTGACATGGGAATAAAATTACTGATTGGTATCTCTTGAAATATTATGCAACAAGCTTTCTTGTGTCATGAATGCCCATAACTCCCCATATGGTTCTCCAAGTGTAAAACCCAGAGCAGCTGCAACAGCATCACCTGGGAATGTGCTCTTGAGCCCCATTCAGACCTACTTAATCAGAAACCTTGGAGTTGGGGCTCAGCAATCTATGATTTAACAAGATTTCCCTGCAGTTCTGACGCAGGTGACAGAGTACTCTATCCTATATATCCAGTGTACTTTACATGTTTGAAAGAACTTTTGTTTTTGACTGGTGTATTCTCATTTGGTCAAGCATTCTCATTTGGTCATGATGAGAACAGGTGAGCTAATTACTTACAGGGAAGGAACCCACCTCACTGCCTCATTGTGAAGCCACCTCACAACCCCATTGTTGACAGGCAAGTTCCCCAGCCAGTGAGCAAAGTAGAACAGGATTTGGGGTGTCCTGGCCTCTACTGAAATAATCTGGAAAGAAAGAGTTATGACAGGAAAAGGTCTTAATTGGTATACATTTTTTGTATATTAAACAGCCAAACATTTGTTAGCTTTAGGACATTTGCAAAAAAAAAAAGTGAGAACTCTGAATATTAAAGATCTTATGTTAGAAAATTTTTGTCTGTGAAACTTATTTGTGTTTTAAAAATGAATGCTTCGGGCCAGGCATGGTGGCTCACACCTGTAATCCCAGCACTTTGGGAGGCAGAGGCGGGTAGATCACCTGAGGTTAGGAGTTCAAGACCAGCTTGGCCAACATGGCAAGATCCCATGTCTACTAAAGATTACAAAAAATTAGCCGGGCATGGTAATGGGCATCTGTAATGCCAGGTACTCAGGAGGCCAAGGGAGGAAAATCACTTGGACACAGGAGGCAGAGATTGCAGTGAGCCGAGATCACACCACTGTACTCCAGCCTGGGTGGCAGAGTGAGACTCAGTCTCAAAAATAAATAATAAATAAATAATGTTTCTTGTTTGAATGAATGTTTCTCTCCATCTTCCTAGAGTGCTATTTTATTATTTATTGTAATTTCAGGCATCAGAAAAGTGACCTAATATTCATGAGTTAACGTCACAACAAAATGAAGAGACAAGTATAACTCCATCTAGGAACTGCTATTTGAGACACATATGTGGGATATATGTCATACTGCTCACCTTTTCAGGAAACAAATAGAATGACAAATACAGGGTGGTCATGCAATGCTGTCACATTCTGCTTCAAAAGAATAGAGCAGAACACACTAATGAGTTAGATTAAATGTTGGAATATAATCCATTTTCCTTTGACTTTTGGATGCCAATATATTGTTTTCCACAAACACTCTTTTAGTTAAGTTTCTTCAAAAGCCATGTTTCAGCAGCAAAACAAACACTCATGTAACCAAATACCACCAGTTCCCTAAAAACCTATGAAATAAAAAAAATAAAATATGAATAAAGTCTTCCTTTCTCTTCTTCCCTCTCTCCCTCTGCTCGCTCTCTCCATTCCTCACTCCCAGTTTCCCTCCTTCTGTTTCTTCCTTCCCTCCTCTAATAGGTATGGGCAGCTTCATATTTGCTACTTTGTT
This sequence comes from Homo sapiens, assembly GCF_000001405.40. NCBI lineage: Eukaryota > Metazoa > Chordata > Mammalia > Primates > Hominidae > Homo > Homo sapiens. The sequence continues at coordinate 81,202,958 of NC_000003.12, read as the reverse complement.
AATTGCATGCATCAGAGGAGAATATAGAGGATACAATACTTGACCAATTTTTTGTTTATAAATTTCAGTACAACACTGTAGGAAATAATATGAGTAACACACATTAGTGACCAAGAAACCTTGTAGTTCTGTGTGTCCTTATCTGCATTCTAGATGCAGAAATGTTTACATCTTAGTGTTCACTTGGTTGTGTACATTATATCCATTTTGTTTTATTTCAGTGAGCCTAATCTAAAACTTAACAGTTAAAAGACAGCAAATTTAAACTAAGAACAAGAAATATTTTGTGGTTTTGTATAGTGTATTAGCTCCTTGGGACAATTAGGGTTCAGGGTCTTGGGAAGAACACTTTCAAGGAATTCTGCCAACATTAACACATAGTTTAGCCTAGAATAGGGCTAGAATCCTCACAATACAATTAGAAAATGGGAGACATGGGAAGGCCAAGTGGAATTTGCAGTCACGCAGAACTGGGACTGAATCCTGGCTCAGCCATTTTCAGGCTCTACGAGCTTCTACTTGTTACCCAACTCCTTAAATCTATTATTCCACATCTGAAAATGAGGTAACACCTGCCTTGTGAAGTTGTTACGGTGTTTGCATATACATATATATGGTGTGTATTCACTATGTATATGTGTATATATATATGTACAGACACACACAGAGAGAGAGAGAGAGAGAGAGAGAGAGAGAAAATTACAGCATGTCCAGATCAGAGTAAGGACTTTAAGCATTGTATTCTATATTACAGAACTGTTCCCTAGGATTTGGCTTATGGCTTTGAAAAATCATGGAAAAACAGAATTATTGATTTAAAAAGAGGCTAAAGTTTGTCTTTCCTTTAAGCCACTTCTCTCCCTATATTCTGCACATGCACTATTATTTCTACGAGTTAAGAAGCATACTTACATACTCCACTGAACACAAAATTAACTACAGAGAAAAGAAAATGGCTTGCTTATCCCCAAGCAAGTGCAGATTGAAATAGAACATGAAGATGAGAAAAGAGAGTGTATTTGATTTATTGATCCTAGTTCTTTCTTGTTATTCAGTTCCCCAAATACTTCCTCTGTTCCTCTGTCCTTTCAGCACCAAAGACTTGGGGTTATCTCTTGAATTTCTGAGTGCTTACTATTAAGACCTGTTCACAACCCCTGCCCCTTCTCTCTTCACTGAATTCCACTTTTCTCAGTGGTTCTCAAAGCTTCAGATAGGATACTCGGTGTGAGGTTTCACATGGAAACAAATGAGAATAGAGGAAAAAATGCGAAGGGACCCAATAATCTAATGCAAGTATTTGTAGTGAAACAGAGTTGACAGGCATGTAAGGGGAGGGGTCTTGATAGAGCACACAATACTGTTTAAGGAGATGTGGGACATGTCTTTAAGTAATATTTAGTTCTGTCCAATCCAGTTCCCTGGTTCATAGAGAAATCTTGAAAGCACTCAAATACTTAATCTAGCAGCAGAAGGGTAGACAAAGGGTCTTCCTTCTACTTCCAATTAGCAAGACTGTAGCTGGCTTAGCATGAACAGCTGATTGATGTATATACAAAATGTATATACTAAGTAGGCCAGGTGCGATGGCTCACTCCTGTAATCCTAGAACTTTGGGAGGCCGAGGTGGGCAGACTGTCTGAGCTGAGGAGTTCGAGACTAGCCTGGGGCAACATGGTGAAACCCCTTGTCTACTAAAATGTAAAAAATTAGCCAGGCATGGTAGCCTGTGCCTGTAGTCCTATCTACTCAGGAGGCTGAGTCATGAGAATTGCTTGAACCCGGGAGGCAGAGACTGCAGTGGGCCGAGATCATGCTACTGCACTCCAGCTTGGGCAACAGAGAGAGACTCTGTCTCCTAAAAATAAAAATAAAATTAAAAAGCAGAATGTATATACTAAGTAGTTTCTACAAACTTTTTGTTAGTGGAAATTCCTATGGACTGGAAATAGATTGACTGGGGCTGGTCACGGTGGCTCACGCCTGTAATCCCAGCACTTTGGGAGGCCAAGGTGGGTGGATCACGAGGTCAGGAGATCGAGACCATCCTGGCTAACACAGTGAAACCCTGTCTCTACTAAAAATACAAAAAAAATTAGCCGGGCGTGGTGGCGGGCACCTGTAGTCCCAGATACTCGGGAGGCTGAGGCAGGAGAATAACTTGAACCCGGGAGGCGGAGCTTTCAGTGAGTGGAGATCGTGCCACTGCACTCCAGCCTGGGCGACAGAACGAGACTCCGTCTCAAACAAAAAAAAAATAAAGAAAGAAAAAAGGAAATAGATTAACCAAAAGTTCTTGTATATGCTATTGTGTATAGCATATGTATGATATGTATGTTCTGGTATATGCTATTTTGGGTGTGCATGTTTTTATATATACTCTAGTAATAAGTTGGAGGATATTTTGGTCATGAGCTCGGTGACAGATGCCATTTTCAAAGAGAAACTTCTTCTCAGTTTCTTTTAATCTCTTGGCATATAGGTTTGGTACCAGTCTTGTTTGCTAATGGCACTTTGATTTGGGCCTAGTAAATTTTTAAGATTGTTTCTACTATGGGAAACTTTCCAAATAATCAGTAGTAAAAGGGATAATTGAGGATGGCTGGCATATGGCTTAAGGGATGCTTGAGGTTAACATGATGATTTGTAAACACTGTGGTTTTTCTCTTAAAGTACACATATAATTTAATATAAATAATAATAATGTTTTTTGTTGTGTACTCAGTGAAACTTTGTTTGGTTAAAAGGTTGCCCATTTCGGACACACAAACGAGATCTCTAATTATGAGACCAAGTCCAGCAATTATTCTGAGCTTCTTTCCCAATTTTGACAGCTCCAGGGAAAAAGAAGAAATTCATCTTTAACTACTCAAGAGGAATCCAATACTTTTTCAATCACTGGCATTTCCTGGGGATGAATGTGAACCTAGCTTTAAGGACCAAAATGTTCTACACTATTCATTTTTGCACTGTTCTGCTTCTGCAAATCAGATGTGCTGTTTCAGTTTTGACTGTGAAGTTTTTCCAGTGTCTGAGCTTGTTACCATACATCGGTTTAAGCAGACTCTCATTTTCTTATATTCTGCTCCTTTTCCTTTCTTTTGGTTCTTCTGCATGATTTCCCTATCCTCACTGTCTGCCTGCTTTATGTTTCCTTGCTCATCTTAGAGTGAGCTTGCCTACTTGCAGCATATCTATTCTCCTCGGGAGGCATTTAAATGGCTTGTTGTTTGCAGCCCACTGCATTCTAGGGCTGCGAATGGAAATAAGAGGAGGGCTTGTGGACATTTCCCATTGTCCTTAAATATCTAGGGAGCTACACTCTGAGGAATTAACTGCAGATTGTAAGAAACATAAAGACGAACAGATATGGTCTCCTTTTCTAATCCATGTTACAGATTTTTTTGATGGATTTTTTTTTCTGTGATTCATCTAGTTCTCTTTTTCCTCAGTTTTGTGAAGCAGACTGAAACACATTTTATTTTCCTGCTGTGAAGCAGCGTGCCCGTATCATTTGCCTTCTCTCACATCAAAATACTAGAATTACACATATATAAGAATTTAGTTAAGATTCATTCAATTCTGCCCCTCTCTTATTCATTCTGTTTTTAAAGGAAGGTCATAAAAGTGACTATAAATCTTAGTACTTGCTGCTTTCTGTTTTTTTTTTCTCTCAGGTATGCAATAGTGTATTAATTGCTGTAATACCTTGAATATTCTAAGTGCTGTCAACAACATCACTTTCAATCTTAGAAACTGGTCAAATGGGGCACACCTCTTATAAGACCTCATCTCCCTCCTTTTAATCCTATGAGTTAACTGACTGAAGTAAGTGAGCATTTCTTAACAGCACCTCCAAGACACGATTTTCAGCCTATCTGCCTTTGCTTGCCTAGTGCACACTCTGTAGAAAAATATAAAAGCCCGCTTTCTTTTCCCACTCTGGCTCACACAGTTTTTCAGATGGCCATAATCAAAATTCCGCAGCTTCCTCTCAGATGTTACGTACTTTACATGACATCTAGAGGCCAAAATTGATGTGAGCTGTAATTAATCTTTCCACGTGGCTATGCAGACCCTTGGTATATCAGGGATAAAAACCACACTGTCTGCATACTTAAACTTACAGAACAATCCAGCACAAATCTATATTCTGTGCAGTGCACAGTTTGATCCCATTATCCTATGGATATAAAAGATATAGGAAAAGAAAGCAGCCTTATGAGGAAAGAAAAGATTTAAGAGAACAGAACTCCCTTCTTCTGAGTTTTCATTTTATATACAATAATGCCTGCTGTTAATCTTCACACAAATTGTGAAATAATCTAATTAACATTCTTGATATTTACCCACGACAGTCAAAATCCTGCTGGTAATCAATAATGTAAATGTAAAGTGGCTGATTAAATTTCCTTTTCTATTCTGTCAAAAATTTTAAGGGCAAAATTCATTTTACTGTCCCTTATGTGTTCTCAGAACCCTCTTCTAACTCCTACTTTAATCTGCAAAACCACAGAAGTCACAGAAAAGAATTTAACTCATGTGAAGGATAATTGATACCGTCACCGCTTGGCTATGAAGCAGTTCTCTGCATTTCTTCAATAGACTTGGTAAAGTAGATTATCAGAAACACATAATCAGTACAGTTGCCATTAAGAAAATATTCCAAGCTCCCTTTGTGGATATTTGAATATCAGAAGATTTAAATCCCACCATTTTATAAATGAATCATGAAACTACCATAAATATATGTTAAATCCTTATATATTGTGATGATAACTTTATGCTTTTTAGACATATGTTTTATACACACATATAAACACATGCACATATACACATATGTGCATATGTGTATATACATTATATTATCTCTCTCTAAATATATATATATAATGTATATATAGTTGATTAAGTCTTCCATAGATATTTAAAAGTGTTTATTTTTAACCATATCTGGTCTAGTATCATTCTAACTGATTCAAACTAGGAATAAATAGCTAATTGTGTGTGTGTGTGTGTGTGTGTGTGTTTGTGCATGCATACATACTCATAAACGTGTTATGTGTGGTGTTAATTTAAATAAATGGTAGCTTACTATAAACCTTGATTAATTTCCTTGTCTATGTTGCCATTTGTACTTACAGCTTGCTGCATCTTACTGCTTCTGTATTGTTCACGTCCACCATATTTTACAAACCCATTCCCTGATGATAGACAACTAGAATGCCATCATTTTTTATTACCGTTACAAATGCCAAAATGAGTATATTTATAAATGTTCCCCACTGATATGTACATGTATTTTCTGGAACATATATTAAGACTGGAATGTCTGTGTCATAGGAAACATGCATACGTAATTTTGCTAAATATAGCCAGATGGCTTTCCAGAATGGCTGCTGCAGTATACACTGCCAGCAGGGTGTGAAAGTTGCTGTCTACTCACATCCTTGCCAATAACTGGAATTATCCCATTTTCTGATTTTCACTATTCTGATGAATTATGAAGTTATATCTCATTGTTGTTACAATTTCCAATTATTTGATTAATATTGAGTTTAAACAACTCTTCATATGCTTGTCAGACATATGAATTTCTTTTCTATGAATTGCCTTTTAAAGTCTTTTATTCATTTTTCTATCAAGCTTTTTGTCATTGTCTTTGTGACTTGCAATTATTTGGATATTCTCTTTCTTAATCCTTTATCATCAGTTTTAGATATTGCAAATAAACTCTTCCAATTAACCCAGTGTCTGTTAAGTGATCTTTAATTTTGATATGGTGAAATCCACCAAGTTTTCTGTTTATGATTTGTATATTTCAGATATTTTAAATATTTTTTCATATATCCGGATCACAAATATATTCTTCAATAGTTTCTTTTATTAGCTTTATATTTTGCTTTTCTATAACCGAATGTTTAATCTAAAGGAAACTTTAATCTGTTGTGTAAAGTGAAAGAAAGGGACTCAGGCTTTATACAGTGAGGCAAATTTGCCTAAAATATCATTAAAACAATCTGCCTTTTCTTCATGGTTTTGAGATGTCAGGTACACATACATATATATTTATATATCATCTTTTCCATGTTATTAATATATTTGTCTGTTCATCACCAGTGCTATCCCCAAGATTTTTGTGATGCTGGTTAGCTGTGTATTCTAACTGGCTTGGTGACTCACACGTAAGTGCTTTCACACATGAACACAGAATATTTTCCCATATATTAAAATCTCCTTTTGTGTCTTATAATTTAAAATTCACCAGAATTTTTGTTTGTTTATGTGTTTGACAGTATTTGATTCCAAAATGCTTATGCATTTTGTTGATAACAAAAATGGTATCTTACTTTCAACTTCTAGTTGGTTGTTGTTGGTAAGAGATCTATCAGTTGATCAGTGATTTCAAGTTTATTATGTATCTAGAAAACTTGCTGAACTATCTAAATAGTTCTTAGATACTTAGCTGATTCTGTCGGGGTTTCTTACGGCTTGTCACATCATCTGGGGCTAGATTCATGGGCCTGAGGAGATATAATGGACATTCATCAGATGCCCCTTCAGACTCACTGCTCATCATTCACCATCTTTCAATGTGTGGGCTGTGAGCTAACTTGTATAAATAGCACTCCTAGAGTTGTGCAGTATGCAACCTGTATAACTGTACACGGGTGTCCTTGACTTATGGATACTTAAACCTGAAGGAGATAATATCTCTCTGAGGTTATTACAAGGCTTGTGATTACAAAATTTAAAATATAAATGTTTATCCTATATTTGTATCTGTTTTTAGTCACTTCAGCTGTAAATAACTTCAGAGGCAGTTCATCTATTTTTCAGCTGATACGTTAAATATATGTAAATATTAGTCATTTGGAGGGTAAGAGATAGAGTCTAAAAGGGGGCATGGATTTGTGACAACTTAACTTGAGATACGGCATATATAATTGAAACTGTCCTTATAGCTTTATAAAATTAATCAGAGGAGAAAAGAAGGGAGAAACAAAAATAAACTAAGCTTGCAACATACTCAGCATTAATTATTAGGTCAGCTTGCTCCCTGACCTGCTTTCTCATAATCGTTTGGTCCCTATTGTCCTAAAATGATGTGGACCCTAGATTATAGTTCCCTTAACTGCTCTGTACATAACAATCTGAACATTATGAAACATTAAGTTATTCCTTTGGAATATTCCTTTAGGTCCTGTGTACTGATGAAACTACTGACTCAGCTGGTCTGAAGGACCCCAGGAGGAGCTGACTCACCAAATAATGCATTTTTCACATACTGAAGTTTTCATTCTCCTGTCCCCAGCCAATAAATGACCCCAATTTTGCAGCCCTTCACCCTTCATAATTCACCTCAGAACTCCTTGGGGAGATGGATTTGAGGGTTTTCTTCCATCTCCTCACTCTATACCCTACAATAATTAAAGTCTTTCTCTGCTGTATTCCTGCCGTTTTGGTGTAACTGGTATGTTACTGTGCAGCATGCATACAGATCTGTTGGTCCTATAACATGATGATTTAATGTGTGATGAAAAGTGAAATGCTGAGAATTAAAAATTTATTTTTTGGGGGGTATAACAGAAAATGAGGCAGTGTGGCCAGATATTAAAAGAAAATATTGAGAATTTCACTGACTAGGTCAGCAGCCAGGGAGTAGATTATAATAGATATTCAAACAAAACAAATCTAATGGTGAATATAGACTCAATGAAGAGGATGTTTTTGTTCCTTTTCTATTGATTTTTTTTTTATGTTTTAATTTATTTGAGTTTGGGAATTATATTATATATATATACAAACATTTATACACATATATGTATATGTAACTCTAAGCTTAGACTTGGATAGTGGCAATAGAAATGCAGAATATTAAATGAATTTGAGAGAATTCTTTCAATGATAGCATAGAAAAAACTTGGTTATTGATTGGGTATTAGGATGTGCTGTGGTCTGAATGTTTCTTTCATCACTAAATTTGTATGTTAAAACCTAACTGCCAAGGTGATGGTATTAAAAGATAGGGGTGTTTAGAAAGTGATTCAATTACAGGAGCTCTGCCCTCATGATTAATGAAGTTAGTAACTCTTATAAAAGAGGTCTAAGGGAGCTTTTCTGCTCCTACTATAATAGGAAGACGAGCTAGAAAGCATCAACTTTGAGGAAGAAAGCAAACCCTTATTGAAGAATATTCTTGGACTTCCCACCTTCTGAAACTAAAACTATGAGCAATAAATTTAGGCTACTTCTAAATTGCCCAGTCTAAGGTATTTTGTTACAGTAGCCCAAATATCCTAACATAGAAATTGTTACTGAGAGTGGCTGTTGCTATAACAAATTCCTAAAACTGTGCAAGCAGCTTTGGAACTGAGTAATGGTTAGAGGCTGAAGGATTTGAAGGTGCCTGCTAGAAAAAGCCTGCAATGCAATAAATGGATCATTAAGGGTGATTCTGTTGATGGATCAGAAAAGAAGAGCTATAGGGAGTCCCAATCTTCTTACAGGAAGGGAAATTTGCCTCAGAATGAGTCATATTTTCTTGAGTCCCATTTGTATCCAATTTAAATGAGATTTAGATGAGATTTTAGTCTTAAGAACTTTGAGTTGATGCTAGAACAAGTTAAGAGTTTTGGGGCTGTTAGGATGAAATTAATATATTTTGCATGTGACAAGAACATGAATTTCAGAAAACCAGGGGCAAAATGCTGTGGTTTGAATATTTGTGTTCCCCAAAATTCATATATTGAAGCTTAACCCCTAAGGTAATTGTATTCAGAAAGTGATTGGATCATGAGGTATGAGACCTTATGAATGGGAGTAGTGCCTTTATAAAGGAGGCCTGAGGGGGCTTTTTTGTCTTTCCACCACATGAAGACACAGCTAGCTAGAAGGTGCTATCTTTGAAACAGAGAGTGAATTCTAAACAGACATTACATCTGCTGGTGACTTGACCTTGGACTTTCTACCTTCAGAACTATGAGCTATAAATGTATGCTGTTCATAAATTACTCAGTCTAATGTCCTTTTAAAGAACAACCTAAAAAGCCTAAGACAGGGAGAGAGGATAGCAGAATCAAAGTTGATGTTCAAATGTTCTGTTCAATAGATAGATCTCTAGAATATAAGTTCCATGAAGACAGTAATTTTCTTCCATTTGGTTCACTGATGTATTACAAGTGCCTAAAACAATAACTAGCATATCATATATGATCCATTAATATCTATTGATAAACAACACTGAAAGAACAACAGGTTGGGGCTGTAGAGGGTCCTTTGGTTCATTTATCTTGACTTTGAAATGCTGTAAGCATCAAGTCAAAATATGTGGTAGGCATATAAACTTGTAATCTATAAGATAAGCTCCAGCTAAGGACATTTGTGTTGTATAATTAATACTCAAAACATTTTAGATCATTAGCAATGGCTAACAATTAGATAGTAGAAAGTAAATATTATATTTATCTGTTTAATCACAGCAGACAAAACAAAGTTTATTGTATTAAAGATACTTGGTACAAGGTCCAATTACCAGTGGTGGCTTATTTGGTAATTTGTAAAATCTACACGGTTTTATCACGGAATTGCTACCGTGCTATAGTAGTTTTAAATGTCCTTTTTTAAAAATAAAAACCAGTTTTATTCCACAACTTTTTTTTACCAGTTCCTATGGAGATTCAGGTAAATGCTTTAAAATGTACATTTTAAAGTTTTGATCAGTCATACATATTCATGAAATCAAATATCTAAAATTGTAGAAGCTGTAACATTACTCTTATTTGTGAGAGCACGTGTTTTGTCGATGTATTAGTTTTGATTAGAAAGTCCAAAAATAGGCTGAAGGCTTTACTGAATCTTGGAATATAAATTTACATTTTCTTTATAATAAAAGATAAAAATGAAGTAGAATTTTCCATACTAATTTGGAGTTTTCTAAGAATTCCATATGCACTTTATATTCTTTAAAAATAGCAGAAGATATTATAATACTTCTATTCAATTGTCCTAGATTTAAAACTATAAAGGTAGACATTTTTGGAAAAAAATAGTTTAGATAACTTTAATATTCACTAAAAGGGTGTGTGTGTATGTGTATATATGTACATGTTTGCATGGCATATGTGTATGTGTGTGTATGTATGTGTGTGTGAGAAATATTTATTTTAATATTAATATTATCCAATTGTGTTGATCATTTAAATATGATAGTGAGCACTGAATTTCATTTTGGACAAAGAAAACAAAAGAATTATGGAATAATATTGTCTACTGTTTTAATAGCTCTCTTATTTAAGTAATGTAGGTTTATTTTTAATATAAAATGCACATTACAATTTTATTTGTAGTAATTGATATTATCCTCCAATAGATATCCATTGCCACTATACAATTCAATTGCAAAATAAATTAAATTTATCTGGCAAAGTAAAAATGTTTGACATTACATCTCTAGTAATGAGGAAAAGTAAGTTTCACAGAATGCACTAGGATTTTCATATAGGTTAATAAAACTTTAGTACACCAGTTATTCTTTTAAATGTCTTTATTTTACATCACAAATATTTTGTCTTATTTAATTGAATGGCTTATAAAAATATAATAAATTTCTGTCATTCATCAATAAAATTCTTGTAAAACTGTGGTGTCCTTATCAGTGCATGAATACTTGCTGATTTATTTTGTGCTTTCTTGCCTCATTTACAGGCGTCTTTGTAGATCGTTCCCAGTTGGAAATATCAAGAGCTTATGTTCGTTTCCGTTCCATGAAATATCAAGTTTGACAGTGATAAGTTGACTACCTTATGGATTCTAAGTACCACATTTAGAACCTGCTATCCCATATAACTATTTATTTCCCTCACTAACTGAACAATCTGCCTTTTATTTCATTTAATTTTTTTCTCACTAACCTTAACCATGTTATTTTAAAGAGAGAATTTTGTAGGGATTCGGTGCTAATAACAAAAATGTGGCACCTCACTTTTATATCGGAGCAAACTGAAAGTAATAATAATCCTTTCTTTTTTACTATTCAGGAAGTATCATGTATTTTAATATGTTTGACTTTATTATTATTTGACCTAGATTTCCATTATGGAAAATGCTACCTACAACCTCATTACATTCTATCTTGGGAGACAGAACAAGATGAATGAATCATATATGGAGTATTTTAGAGTATGATCAATACTATGGAGAAACACAAATCAGTAATGGCATTGGAGATATGTGTGTGGGTAGGGGGAGGGTTGAAATTTTCAAAATGTACTAGATTTTTACAGCTACTGTAAGAAAGTCTCACAGACCTGGTGGGTTAAAACACAAGAAAGGGTATTCTTCCCCAGTTCTGGAGGCCAGAGGGCTGATACCCGGGTATCAGTAGGAGAATGCTTTCTTCACGGGCTCTAGGGGAGATGCCATTCCTTGCCTTTCATCTTCTGGTATCCATCGGCATTCCTGTGGTCTCACCAATCCAACCTTGCCTGTTTTACATAGCTTTTTCTTTTCTATTGTCTCCTGGTCTGACTTAAACCTTCCTTTGCCTTTCTTTCTTGTAGATGCTTATCATTGGATTTAGGACCCACCTGTATAATCAAGAATTATCTCGGCTGGGCGCGGTGGCTCACGCCTGTAATCGCAGCACTTTGGGAGGCTGAGGCGGGCGGATCACGAGGTCAGGAGATCGAGACCATCCTGGCGAACACGGTGAAACCCCGTCTCTACTAAAAATACAAAAAAATTAGCCAGGCGTGGTGGCGGGTGCCTGCAGTCCCAGCTACTTGGGAGGCTGAGGCAGGAGAATGGCGTGAACCCGGGAGGCCGAGCTTGCAGTGAGCCGAGATCGTGCCACTGCACTCCAGCCCGGGCGACAGAGTGAGACTCTGTCTCAAAAAAAAAAAAAAAAAAAAAAAAAAAAAGAATTATCTCATCTAGAGATGCTTAATCACATCTGCAAAGACCTTTCTTTTCAAATAAAGTAAAAGTCACAGATTCCAGAGTTTTGATATGAAAATGCTGTAGGAGTGAGAGGACACTTTTCAGACTACTGCAACCATAAAACCCAGTTAGATTTGTTGATTTTGAAATAGAGGAAAGCAATACTTGCATTGAGAAATAGAAGTAAATCAATATTGAGATAAAGTATTTTACAGAATTCTGCAGAAATAAAGTTTATGTCTTCACTATTTAATTAACTGGGTGACTAGAAATAATTATGAAAAATTTGCATGTCAATGCACATACTGAGAAATGAGCTTTCAAGTCACCATTATTAATTGTCATAGCTTTTTAGGTAAACAACTAGCCAGGAATAATTAGCACCGTAGACTAGCAAACCACACTTCACTGCACCATTACATAAACAACCAGGCTAAATCTACCAGAAACTCTTCAAATAAGGTTGAAGGCAAAGGCATTTTGAGATATTCTACTCTGACAAGGGTTTTTTCATGTTGTAATTGCGTGTGAAGCACTTTTGACAGAAGTATAACACAAATGGAACCCACACTCCAGGGAAGAGAAAGACCATAAATAATTATGTGTAATTAAATTACAACATGGATAGTGCTACATTTAAGGTAACTAGATAACGTGGGTTAACATCAAGAGCTTTTCGAACAAAGGCAACACAATACAAAAGTCAAGCTGCAACAAAGAGCATAGCATTTTCTGGTAGCAGAGATTACGTCTGAAATATTGTGAATGCAGTAAAAATGATTGAGGAAAGAAAGGTGGCATAATAGAATTATGAAAGACTGAATTTCATACCAATGATTTTGGATCTTTTTCTAAAAATCAGTGGTTTTCATAGCACATTTTCTTACAAATAACAGATTCGGCAGAGGACTGCACCAACGCTTTAATCCTTCGGGAAAGCCTTCTCAAATAAGCATAAGTGATAAAACTGTGCTTGATATGCAAATGTAGCTTCAAAAAAAGTACCAAAGGTGCATTCTCACCCTCCTTTACAATCAGAGAGAAATGCTTGTGAGCCCCTTTGCTGCTCATCAAAATTCTTGGTCCTGATCCTCTTTCATATAAATTCTGGAAAGCTCCTCATTAGCAAATCAGGTGCCAGAACTGTGCAGCTCCAGATATTAAAGATATTTGCCATTAAAGTAATGGCAAAAACTGACATTACTTTCAAACCAATCTAATAATTTCTGGCCCAAGATTTTTGACAGTGTCAAAATAGTAACAGGATACAATGAAGTTTTTAAAGAGATTTTAAATATTAGTTTCAAAACTTACAAATTTCTATCAATAAAACAATTTGTGATGAGAAACATTTTCCATATTTAGATTCTCTATTTCTCATATCCTCTCACTTCATCCCAAACTTCTACATGTATAGATATATCAAAAATAACTTTTCAGGTTTGTTGATCAGAGAAGAAGTGAAATGAGAAAAATATAAATTAAATTTACATAATAAAGTGATTGGATGACTCCAAGGCAGATTCATTTAGAGTAGAGGAAGTGAAAGGGTAAGAAATAGCTATACAGAATTGCTGAGAGTAACATATCTGTAACTTCAGAAAAGAGGAGCTTTGAGAAATTTTCTTATGCCATATGCAATTTATTTCTATGCTGATCTCCCATCCGCATTCACACATCATCTCCCAGTCACACAAACACATCACATCAACAGAAAAACTCAATAGAGATCTACATTGCTCGTTGGTGATTTTGGAGTCAAGTGTGTTCTTTTTCAATATGAAAACAAATTTAAAATTTGTCATTATTTTTGTGCTTCCTTTTTTTTTTTTTTTTTTTGAAATGGAGTCTGGCTCTGTCACCAGGCTGGAGTGCGATGGCACAATCTCGGCTCACTGCAACCTCCACTTTCTGGGTTCAAGAGAGTCTCCTGCTTCAGCCTCCTGAGTAGGGATTACAGGCACGTGCCACCATGCCCAGCTAATTTTTGTATTTTTTTAGTAGAGATGGAGTTTCACCATGTTAGCCAGGATGGTCTTGATCTCCTGATCTCGTGATCCGCCCGCCTCGGCCTCCAAAAGTGCTGGAATTATAGGCGTGAGCCACCGTGTCTGGCCTGTCCTTCCTGTCTTCTCTCTGTTTCTATTTTTTGTCTTTCTGTTTATATACATATCTCTGAAAGTATATTGTGTTTTCACTTGGAGAATATTCTATATTCTGAGATCTTGTTATTTCTACTTTGATTCAACAATTTCTTTCTTTTACAAAATGATGTGCAATAGTGAAGGGAAGTGTTTACATTTTACATTATAACTGACAAAATAGTAAGTTAACATGCATGTTTATATATAAAATGTCATATTTTAAGTTGTTTTATGAGGCTCCCAAATTGCTCCAGATGATTTAAAAACATCAATGAAAACTTTAGAAAGGAAGTTTTGATCAGATTTGCCTTTTACAGAGAGAACTTAGATTGTAGTGAGGACAAAGCATAGGAGGAAGCACAAGAGGTGACGGGAAAAATATAGATTAGAAAATGAATTCCGAGTTTAGATTATAGTTCAGGAAAATGATTATGTGAATCTGAACTATAATGACATAAAAAGCGTGCAGAGGAAAATGTATCTTTGTGGGTGAAGTTGCTGACGATATTTAGAAGCATAAACAATGCTCCGTGATAAATTAGATATGAATGATGAGGAGAGGGAAGAGTTAAGGAGACTGTTTTCCATGTTACATGCATAGGTAGATAGAATCACCATAATCTGAAAGAGGAAGTAGAGTAGGAAAAAACATTTTGAAAAGGAGAGAAAGTAATGGCTATTTTGAAAGATTATAGCTGGTCTGTAAAACTACTCAGAAAACCCTTTGAGATTAGGCAAAAGCTCTCAATTACAGAAAACGCTAAAAAAAAAAAAAAAAAAGAAACACGAAAATCCCCCAGAAAAGCCTTTTATCTAATTTTGACACCGAACAGTGTTGAACAGTCTATACATACATTTCTGCTTTGTTAAAAGTAGATTTTCAATCTTAACTATGAGCCTATATTTTTCAAGTGGATGCAGTTATTTCCTATGTGTGTGTATGTGTATGTGCTACATATATATGTATGTATGTGTGTGTATATACTACACACATATACACATAATGTGGGCATATATATATATACACATACATATATATATATACACATACATATATATATACCTATATATATATATATATACGTACACCTATATATATACCTATATATATATATCCATTTGCATTATTATAAAGAAGTACCAGAGACTGAGTAATTTATAAAGAAAACAGATGTATTTGCCTTATGGGCCGATGGGCTTTACACAAAGCATAGTTCCAGCATCTGCTTCTCGTGAGGGCCTTGAGAAGCTTACAATCATGGTGGAAGGCAAAGAGGAACCAGCGTGTCACATGGTGAGAGAGGGAGCAAGAGAGGGAGGAGGTGGAAGGCTCCTTTAAACAACCAGAACTTGTATGAACTCACAGAGGGAGAACTCACTTATTACTGTGAAGGCATCACCAAGCCTTTCATGAGGGATCTGCCCCCATGACCCAAACACCTCCCACTAGGCCTACTTCCAACACTAGAGGTCACATGTCAACAGGAGATTTGGAGAAGACAAAGCATCCAAATCATATCTTTTTGCTCCTAACCACCCAAATCTCATATCCTCCTCACATTCCAAAATACAACCATCCCTTCCCAACAGTCCCCCAAAGTCTTAACTCATTTCAGCATTACACAGAATTTCAAAGGTCAAAGTTTCCTCTGAGACACAAAGCAAGTTCTTTCCACCTATGAACCTATAAAATAAAAAACGAGCTATTTACATTAGGATACAATGGTGGTACAGGCATTGGGTAAACATTTTCTTTCCCAAAGGGAGAAATAAACCTAAAGAAAAGGACAATAGGCATCATGCAAATCTGAAACCCAGCAGCGCAATCATTAAACCTTAAAGCTCAGAATAATTTCATTTGACTCCTTGTCCCACATCCAGAACATATTGATACAAGAAGTGAGCTCACAATACTTTGGGGAACTTCACTCTTGTGGCATTGCAGGGTAAAGGACCTGTGGCTGTTCGCATGGGTTGGAGTTAAGTGCCTGGGACTTTTCAAGGCTCAGTGTGCAAGCTACTGGTGGCTGTACCATTCTGGGGTCTGGAGAGTGGCAGCCCCCTTCCCACAGCTTGGCTAAGCAGTGCCCTGGTAGAGACTTTGTGTGGGGGCACCAATCCCACATTTTTCCTTGGCACTGTCCTAGTAGACTCTCTCTGCAAGGGCTCTGCTCCTGTGACAGTCTTCTGCCTAGGGACCCAGGCTTTGAAATACATCCTCTGAAATCCAGGTAGAAGCTGCTAAGCTTCTTTCACCCTTGCATTCTGTGTACCTGAAGGCTTAACACTATGTGGTTCCCTTTTAGTAATGCAAATCTCTTTAGCAAGTAGTTGCTCCATAGCCCTCTTGGATTCTCCTGAAAGTGCTTTTTCCTTCTCTACTGTGGGGTCAGGCTACAAGTTTTTATGCTTTGATTCCCTTTAAATTAAAAATTCCAACTTTAAGTAATTCTTTGCTCCCATATCTAATTTAGGCTGATAGAAGCAACCATGGCATATCTTGAATGCTCTGCAGCTTAGGAATTTCCTCTGCCAGATACCCTAAGTCAGCACTCTTAAGTTCAACCTTTCACAGAGCCCTAAGATGTGGACACAATGTATCCAAGTTATTTGCTAAGATGTTACAAGCGCAAATTTGCTCCAGTTCCCAGTAAGTTTCTCATTTCCATCTGAGACTTCGTCAGCCTGGTATTTACTGCTCATATTTCTATCAGCATTTTGGTCACAACCATTTATCCAGTCTCTAAGAGGTTCTAAAATTCCTCTTATTTTCCTGTATTCTTTTGAGACCCCCCAAACTCTTCCAACCTCTGCCCGTTACCCAGTTCCAATGCTTCCACATTTTCAAGTATCGTTATGGCAATAATAACATACCATATACCGCACTTCTTGATACCAGTTTTCTGTATTAGTTTGTTTGCATGGCTATAAAGGAGTACCTAAGACTGGGTAATTTACAAATAAAAGAGGTTTATTTGGCTCATGGTTCTGCAGGCTGTAGACAAAGCATAGTGCCAGAATCTGCTTCTTGTGTGGGAATCAGAAAGCTTACACTCATGGCAGAAGGTAAAGGGGAGATGGTGTGTCACATGGTGAGAGAGGGAGCAAGACAGAGAAGGAGGAGGTATCAGGCTGTTCTAAACCACTAGATCTCATGTGAATTCATCGTGTGAGAACTTACTCATTACTGTGATATAGCACCAAACCATTTATGAAGGAGCCACCCCAGTGCCCCAAACACCTCCCACTAGGTCCTTCTACAACATTGGAGGTCACATTTCAACATGAGATTAGAAGGCGACAAAATATTCAAACCTTATCCATCTATCTATCTGCCTATCTAATGTTTACATATATGACAGTCCATCTCACTGTCTTGATGAAATAAGATTTGCTGCAGTATTAAAAAATAATTCTCTACCCTCCTAATGTTTTCAGTATTACTGTTAAACACCTTAATGATCTTTTACTATACACTCATCTTCTAAATGCACAAGCCAATTTGAACTTTGTAGATTTTTAGTTTTCTTTTCTCTCAGTAGAGTACATGTCTAAATATAAACCGTATGAGTTTTCTATGTTGTGATAACAAATGACCACAAATTTAGTGGCTTCAAATAACACAAATTTAGTAGCCTTCTAATTCTTTAGGTTAGTACCTTTATAATGCTTTACGTTAAAACTCCAACACAGGTTTACTGCACTAAAATCAAGGTATTGGCAGGGCCGCATGGCTTTCTGGAAATTCTAGCAGAGAATCCTTTTCCTTGAATTTTCCAGTATGTATAAAGACTATCTGCATTTATTTATTTTTTGGCCTGCTGGTCCCTTTTCTCCTTCTTCAAAGCCAGCAACATAGCATCTCACTGACCCTGATTGCATTGCCATAGCTCTTTCTCTGACTCTCCTTTTATACCTCCATTTTCCACTTTTAAAGACCCCTGTGATTACATTGGGCCCACCTGGATAATCCAAGATAATCTCCCCATTTTAAGTGTGTTGATAAGCAAACTTAATTCCATCTGCAGACTTAATTCCGCTTTGTCATATAGGGTAACATATTTGCAGGTTCTATGGATTAGGATATGGATACCTTCTTAGGGTCATTATTATGCCTATTACACAAGTCTATTGAACATTTAGATATCTGTCTGCATCCTATTACGTTTTTTGAAAATAGAGTTAAACCAATTCCCAATCTTCTTCCATGTCTGCAGTAGGCTGCCTCTATAATGGCCTCCAAAACTCCCCACATTTGGCCAGGTGTGGTGTCTCACACCTGTAATCCCAGCACTTTGGGAGGCCAAGGCAGGCAGATCACAAGGTCAAGAATTTGAGACCAGCCTGGCTAACATGGTGAAAACCCGTCTCTACTAAAAACACAGAAATTAGCTAGGCGTGGTGGTTCATGCCTGTAATCCTAGCTACTCAGGAGACTGAGGTAGGAGAATGCTTTCAAATATGAGTTGAAATTACTTCTAATGAATAATATATGACAGATATGATGAAAGCTCACCTCTGTGTTTGCATTATATAAAGACTGGGGCTTCTATGTTGAGTGTCCTCTCCTAATCTGTTGCTTTCTTCTTCACTTGCTTTGAGGTCAGCCAGTTGTCATGTTGTCAGTTACCCTATAGAGTGGCCCATATGGCAAGGAACTAATGTCTCTGGCTAAATACCTTAAAAATCTGAAGCCTACCGACAGCTATATGAGTGAGTTTGGAAGTAAAATCTTCCTCAGTTGAGATTTGAGATTACTATAGCCTAGACCAATGCCTTGATTGCAGTTTTATAAAAGACTCTGTTTAAATTTCATGAAAGAGGTGCTCAAGCAGGCCATGACTTAATTTCTTACCCATGGGAATAGTGAGAATTAAGAAAAAGTTTGTTGTTTTAAGACACCAAATTTTGGAATATTTGTTATATAGCAGTAGATAAATAATGCAGATTTTTGTATCTGAAAGTAGGAAGCTGCCTTAATAAATACTGAAAAATGTAGGCGTGGTTTTGGATCTGGGTAGTGAGTAAAAGCTGTAAGGATTTTAAGGAGGATATCTGAGAAATTATAAATTGCATTGGATAGATGAGAAATATGGACTTTCTGTATGCTGGTGATAACTGAAAAGAAAGTAACATGTTACTGGAAATGGAGAAAGTATCCTTACTTTGCAGAACAAAAAGCTTAGCACCACTATTGTCTACAATAATGTGGACAGTAGAAAATTTAACCAAAGCATTTGTTGTAATAGTTAAGGATACTTATAAACAAAGTATTTATGGTGTAGCCTAGTTTATTCTTGCTGCTTTTAGTAAAATGTGAGAAGAGAGAAAGAAATTGAGTAAAGGACTTTTTAAAAAAATATAATTTTTTGGTTTTAAAAATTCTCAGAATTTCCAAATGGTGAAGACGATAAAATTAAGAAATGCCTTCTGAACAAATTTAAAACTTAGGGCACTGACAGACAGTCTGGTCTAGAGATGAAGCCAAATTTCTGACTCATATATTCCCTCACTCAAGCAATGTGGACTACAAGGAGCTAAAAGCTTATTGTGAAAAGATTTGTGGTTATAGCTTTTGTCTAATGGGATAATGCCTGTGATATACATAGGAAGTTCATGAAGTTTTGAGAAAATTATATTGGAAGAAGCACTGTCAGCTTGGACTGATAAGGGAAGATACAGTACAAAATGAAAAAAAAAAAAAGCAGAAGTTATCTCCAACTTCTGTTGGCACCAAGCAAACTGAGAAAACTAATCATTTGAAAACCAGAGCTACCTTTCTTGAAAAAGGAAAGTTTGCTCAGAGGGGGAAATCAAGAGAGAGAGTAACTGAGAGCCATGGAAAATTATTTCTTGATAATAAGAGCTAATCAGAAAAATTCCAACATTCTTTTTTTGCCCCAATTTAAAAATTGATATGGACCAGTGATATTGAGAGGTGAAGCCGGCTTGGCTTCTGGGCCCGGTGGGGACTTGGAGAACTTTTCTGCCTAGCTAAAGGATTGTAAATGCACCAATCAGCACTCTGTAAAACTTCACCAATCAGAGCTCTGTGTCTAGCTAAAAGATTGTAAACGCACTAATCAGCACTCTGTAAAAACGCACCAATCAGCACTCTGTGCCTAGCTAAAGGTTTGTAAATGCACCAATCAGCATGCTGTAAAAACAGACCAATGAGCACTCTGTAAAATGGACCAATCAGCGCTCTGTAAAATGGACCAGTCAGCAGAATGTGGGCAGGGCCAAATAAGGGAATAAAAGCTGGCCACCTGAGCCAGCAGCAGCAACCTGCTCAGGTCCCCTTCCACACTGTGGAAGCTTTGTTCTTACGCTCTTCACAATAAGTCTTGCTGCTGCTCACTCTTTGGGTCCACACTACCTTTATGAGCTGTAACACTCACTGTGAAGGTCTGTGGCTTCACTCCTGAAGTCAGCAAGACCACAAACCCACCGGGAGGAACAAACAACTCCGGACATGCCAACTCTAAGAGCTGTAACACTCACTGCAAAGGTCTGTGGCCTCACTCCTGAAGTCAAGCGAGACCACGAACCCACAGGAAGGAAAAAACTCCGGACACATCTGAACATTTGACGGAGCAAACTCTGGACACACAATCTTTAAGAACTGTCACACTCACCATGGAGGTCCATGGCTTCACTCTTGAAGTCAGCGAGATGAAGAACCCACAAGAAGGAACCAATTCCGGACACAATGTTTTTATGACCCTCATTTAATGTTTAGAACCAGCTAACATGTTCTTTATTTCACAGTTGCACAGATTTAAAGAAACAGTAAACAAAGAGCAATAATTACAGATTTTATTTGAGGAAACGTATTTACTCCTGAACATAATTTAAATAATGACATGCTGGACTGTGAGTGAAATCTCTATTGGGATGAGACTTTTGGGGATGTTTCTGACCCTTAAAATTATGAGATAATAAATGTTCACTGTTGTAAGCTGCTAAATTTTGAGTAATTTCTTACATAGCAATTATCACTAATGCACAGCCCTGTGAGCTCTCTCCCCCTATATTGAAATCCAGTAGAAAAATCATCAATAATGTAAAACCCAGGCAGGTTGCTGCTACTGGCTCAGGCGGCCAGCTTTTATTCCCTTATTTGGCCCCGCCCATATCCTGCTGATTGGTCCATTTTACAGAGTGCTGATTCGTCCATTTTACAGAGTGCTGATTGGTGCACTTACAAACCTTTAGCTAGACACAGAGCGCTGATTGGTGCATTTTTACAGAGTGCTGATTGGTGCATTTACAATCAGCCTTTACTACCTTTTCATACCTTTAATATTTACCAATTAGCTTGGCATGAAGAAGCCTATTCCAGTTAGCTTTAAGAACAATTACCAAACTTCTAAATCCCAAAAGTTATCTCTTCTGCTGACACTGGACTGGTTCTAATTTTCAAAATACCTCTCATAATATTTTTTAAATTGTGTATTTTTCTCCATCCTGAACTCTATTGTGTCCGGAATTGATTCCTTCCTGTGGGTTCTTGGTCTGGCTGACTTCAATAATGAAGCCGCGGACCTTCACGGTGAGTGTTACAGTTCTTAAAGATGGTGTGTCTGGAGTTTGTTCCTTCAGATGTGTCTCTAGTTTCTTCCTTCTGGTGGGTTTCTGGTCTTGCTTGACTTCAGGAGTGAAGCTGCAGACCTTTGCAGTGAGTGTTACAGCTCTTAAAGTTCGCATGTCTGGAGTTGTTTGTTCCTCCCGGTGGGTTCCTGTTCTCACTGACTTCAGAAGTGAAGCCGCAGATCTTTGCAGTGTGTGTTACAACTCATTAAGGTAGTGTGGACCCAAAGAGTGAGCGGCAGCATGATTTATTGTGAAGAGCAAAAGAACAAAGCTTCCACAGTGTAGAAAAGGATCTGAGAAGGTTGCTGCTGCTGGCTCAGGTGACCAGCTTTTATTCCCTTATTTGGCCCCGCCCACATCCTGCTGATTGGTCCATTTTACAGAGCGCTGATTGGTCCATTTTACAGAGTGCTGATTGGTTCATTTTTACAGAGTGCTGATTGGTACATTTGCAAACCTTTAGCTACACACAGAGTGCTGATTGGTGCGTTTTTACAGAGTGCTGATTGGTGTGTTTACAATCCTTTAGCTAGACAGAAAAGTTCTCCAAGTCCCCAGCTGACCCAGATGCCCAGTCGGCTTCACCTTTCACTATTACTTACTGGGCTATGAGTCCTTGACCGTGCAAATTTTGTGTTCCATCTCTGTGACCTTATCATCAAGCAATATTGACAATGGATAGTGCTCAATAAATATATATTAAATAAATTAGTGAGAGAACAGGTAAATATATGCCCTGTTATTAGAAACAAATACAAAATAACACCCAACATTTCTTGATCTTAATGAAACTCCCTTCACCTTTTTCTTCTAAATCATAAACATTTTTATATCTTTTATTATTAGTGTGTTCATTTCATTTTCACAAGGGTTGCATTTTTTGGTAATAATAGGGATTCTGCTTTTATTTTGTTTCTTTGCTATGTCTTTCCTATACTTCTAATAGAAAATACCAAAGAATTTTACCTCTTTGCACTTTTATTTTTAAAACATACTTTTAAGAAAGATTGTCTTTATTATTATTTTATAGATGATATCCAATTCCAACTTTAATTCATTGTTAGAAATCATTTTGGCTTATTGAATTATTTATTAGCCTATTTTAAAGTTTTGATTTGCCTACACATTTTAAATTCAGTAATCCCACATGAATGTCTGATAAACCTGTCATTTTAAAATTATATTTTTTCTGTCCTTCAGTTATATATCCTGGGTACCAAGTGGGGTGATGGAGAATTACTACTTTATTGGCTCTCTTATTTACTATCTTTCATGTACCCACTAGTTTCCATTCTGAACTTTAAGCCTGTTCTATGTAACATTTCTTCTATGATTTATTATTCAGAGTATTTTTTTAGAAATAAAAACTTCGCATTTTAACCTTTTTCTCAGGAAATCGTGTTTATTTTTATTAAAATATCTTTAAAACTACATGTTTTTTTTTTTTTGAGATGGAGTCTCCCTCTGTTGCCCAGGCTGGAGTGCAGTGGCGTGATCTCGGCTCACTGCAAGCTCCACCTCCCGGATTCATGCCATTCTCCTGCCTCAGCCTCCGGAGTAGCCGGGACTACAGAAGCCCGTCACCACGCCCGGCTAATTTTTTGTATTTTTAGTAGAGATGGGGTTTCATTGTGTTAGCCAGGATGGTCTGGATCTCCTGACCTCATGATCCACTCGTCTCCGCCTCCCAAAGTGCTGGTATTACAGGCGTGAGCCACTGCACCCGGCCTAAAACTACTTTTTAAAGCATAATCATTAATCCTTGTACTATATTGTCATAAGATATTGTCTTATTCTGCTAAGGCTGCTGTAACACAATAAATACCTTAGACCGGGTGGCTTATCAACAACAAAAATTTATTTCTCATGGTTTTACAGACTGAGAAGGTCAAGATCAAGGACCAGCAGATTTGGTCTCTGGTGATGTCTATTTTCCGGTTCATAAGTAGTGCCTTCTTGCTATGCCTATATATAGTGGAAAAGGGCAAAGCAGCCCTCTGGGGCCTCTTTCATAAAGGTACTAATCTCATTCATGTGGGCCCCACCTATGACCTAATCACTTCCCAATGGCCCACCTCCGAATCATCACATTGGCCATTAGGTGTCAATCTATGAATTTGGGGGGACACAAACATTGAGGCTACAACAGCAAATGTGAATAACACAGCTTTTCAGGTGCTTCTATTCTTCACAGCTTCTATTCTTCACAGTTTCTAACATATTGTAACAGACGAATTTCTATGAGAGAAATCTGTTGACCACTTCTGAAAAACTGACAAATTAATTCTTGTTATTTTGAAATTAGCTTATTATTGTTTACAGTGCTGGTGATTCTCTTCTATGTCTGACAGATATATTCCATCTATTAAGGATATGACTAGTATTCTTAATGTGTTATGTATTCTAATATCTAATGTGTTATGTATTCTAATAACATCTCCTACTCTTCTCCCTTAATATTAAAATCTTAATAACCATTTAAACTTTGCACATATTCCACATATTACCAATATAAGTAATTACGTTTAAAAAGTATAGGCCTATTGAATTATAATACATCCAATCTCTGTTTCCCTCATGTACCTATTTTTAAGTGAGCATTTATCAAATTGAGAAGTTATATGGAGACTGTCTTTTTTTTCTAATTTCAGAGAGTGATTAAATAGACTAATAAATATTAGGATACAGCAAAAATAGTGTTTAATAAATTTAATTTATGCAATACAATTTATTACAATTTTATTTATAGGGTCACACAATCACAGCTAATTGTCAATTAAATTTAGAATCATTGTATACCCTACAGATACTCTACATTTATCATCTATTTGAATGCTAATTGCAAGTACTTTCATTTCTTGACAAAGGAAGCTTCTGAGGCTTATTCTTTTCTGCTTCCATGAAATTGTCTGTGCATTTATAATAATCATAATTCAGGGCCAGCTATTCTCCCAAAGAAAAGTCCTGAGGACTAAGGCCTTATATACAAGGCTAGTTACTCAGATAAACCAGAAAGTATAGTTATAGCTTCAGGAGGAATGAAAATATAGTTATGGCTTCAGGTGTAATGGAATATGTGCAGAATTGCAATAAAGCTAGTATACTTGGAGTGTACTGAGTGAAGAGATGAATGGAACTAGATAAATCTAGAGGTAGGCAGGGGCCAGATATATGACTTTTAAGCCTAGTAGAAATTAAGAAAAAAAAAATCTTACACCAATGACAATGTGGAACTATCAAACAATTTAAACAAGAGAATGCTTTCTGTATAAGGAACGGATTAGAGAAAAGTAACAGTGGAATCAAGAAAAATAGATAAGAGGCTAAAGAGATAATTGCTAGAGTTGCAGGGAGAAGGAGATGACTCAAAATATATTTTGGATTAGACTCAAGAGGATGTTTTAACAGGTGGGAGGAAAAAGCAAGGGAGAAGGAGATATCAAGGGGGACTCAGTTTTCTGTAGAATTTGGGTGGATGCAGGTGACAGTAAATGAGATAGGAAATATTAGAGATAAAGTGGATTTAAATGGTGGGCAGGGATCATGAATTAAACTTCGAAAATACATTTAAGATATCTGAAAGAGATTGATGGGATGTTGTTAAATTAGTTTAGAAAAGAGATCTGTATAGAACATTTACATTGAGAAGTTGGAAATGTGATGGTATTGCATGTCATCAGAGATAAGCGAATTTAGTAAGATGTACCGAGATGGTGATAAGAAGAGAGTCCAGGACTAATTTTTAAGTAACTCCAACATTTATAGTTTGGATAGTGCTGAACAAATCAGTGAAGTATATTTAAGAAACTCCCAAAGTCGAAATACACTAGGCAAATAAGAAGAAATTATAGAGTATAATTTCTACGAGTGCTCTGAAATTAAACCACTTAGGTACAAATAATGGGTTCCCCACTTACTGAATTCGGGTTTAAAGTGAAGTAGGTTACTTAATCCCTTTATTCAGCAGTTCCCCACTGGTATACAGTGACAATCACGTTGCCCATCACAGAAAATTATTGATAGTACTAGAAGGAGTATATTTTTGTAATTTTTGTTTTCCTAACAATCTTAATCATCTTAATGTATAGAACAGACTGGGCATATAATAATAGATGGTAAAGTTACTATTATATTAATAATTATTGAAACTTATATATTGGGGCTTATTTGTGACTTCAGCCAGAAAGAATATAGTGGAGTCGGGAGGCAGAATTAAGAATAAAAGTGCTTGAAGAGTCAATGAGAATGAGAATATTAAAGAGTGTATAATCAATTATTGGAAGAAAGTTATCTATTTAAGGAGCATAGGGAACTAGGAAAACAGCTAGAGAGAGATGTGGGGCAAGGAAATGTTATTAAATCATGGAATAAAGTAAAGGATGTTGTCATCTTGAAAGACATGTTTTAGTAGATGCAAAATGTGGGTAAATGGAATCAAGTCTTTGGAAAGACAGTGCGAGGGGTCCAAAGTGCTTATAGAGGGATGTCTTTTGATAGAAGATGAGATAGCTTTTCTTTGTGAGAACAAGAAAGTAAAAGTGAATGGTATCAGATGAAAGTAAATGGTCAGATTTGAGGACAGGAAAATAACATAATGACTATTTTGTTTGATTGCTTTTATCCTTGTGTTCACTGAACAATTTTTATTCAATGCCTATCATGTACCAGCACCACATTAGCTGCTCAGGATATAGGAACATAAAAAGTAATCCACTGGAAACATCCTCTTTAATTATTGACTGTGATGGTTAATACTGAGTGTAAACTTGATGGGATTGAAGGATACAAAATATACATCCAGGGTATGTCTGTGAAGATGCTGTCAAAGTAGATAAACGTTTGAGTCAGTGGGCTGGGAAAGGCAGACCCACCCTTAATCTGGGTGGACACCATCTAATCAGCTGCCAGTGTGGCTAGAATATAAGCAGGCAAAAAAATGTGAAAAGAGAGACTGACCTAGCTTCCCAGCTGACATCTTTCTCCTGTGCTAGATGCTTCCTGCCCTTGAACATCCAACTCCAAGTTCTTCAGTTTTAGAACTCGGACTGGTTCTCCATGTTCCTCAGCCTGCAGACGGCCTATTGTAGGACTTTGAGATCATGTGAGTTAATACTTAATAAACACACACATATATATATATCCAATTAATTTATATATATAGTATATATAAGAAATATATATATTCAATTAATTCTGTCCTTCCCGAGAACCCTAATACATTGACCTTATATTTTATTAGAAGGTAGGAAGACACATAGCCCTCCAAATAAATATGTAAAATATGTACTATTTTAGATGATAAGGTCTGTGGAAAGAAGTAAAATCAGGAATGGAGATAGAGAATTTTGGAGATTTACTTTTAAATAGGATGATAAGAGTAGGTCTCACAGAGAATGTGAGATTTGAGGGGGATGAAGAGTAATGCAAATATCTGGAGGATGGACATTCTAGAGCAAAGTAAGTATAAAATCTCTAATGTGAGAATATGTCTGAAGTATTCAACAGGGAGACAGGATGCTTCTGCAGTTCCAGCACAGAGAGTAGTTTTCACTCCAACAGACACACAGAGACATGAGAAGTTTATGAAGAGAGAGGAACAACATGATTTTGATTATATTTTACAGAAGGCCTCTGGCTGCCATATTAAAAATACACTGAAGTAGGCAAGGATTGAATCAAGAGACCGTTTAAAGAAGAACTAGAAAGGATTTTGGATTGGAGGTACTGATGAATTTAAAAAATTGAAATAATCCAAGCTTGCTCCAGCGTGACAGTAGTAAATTTAATAAAAATAGAATTCTGGATATGTTTTTAAAGTGTATGAAATGACATTATGGGTATGTTTTAATAGTAAAGTATATAGAATTTAGAAAATAATTGAATGAAGATAGTGAGAAAAAATAGGATTGAAGAGGACTGATATTTTAGGCTGAATTAACAAGCTTGGAAACTTCATTATTTAGATGAAGGATTTTGAAGACGCAGGTGGAGAGAGAATGTGAGGATTGTGGATTCTCGTGTTAAGTATAAAATACCAATTAGATATTTGGGTCAATATATAAAGTATCGAGTTATATATATTAGTCAAGAGCTTAAAGGAGAGTTTAGTCTGAAAAGTATAAATGTTATAATGCATTGTGTAGAAGGCATTTAGAGTCACGAGACTGGATGAGATCACTGAGAAATTGTGTGTAGATAGAACAAATTCAGGGACTGATATCTGGGGCATTTGAAGTTTTTGAGGTCAAGAAAATGAGTACCAAGCAACCAAAGTGAGTGAAAAGGAGCAGTGATTTCAAAAAAGGAAGAAAATTAGTTCAGTGTAGTGCCCTTGAAAACAAATACAAACGTGTTTTTAGAAGAAAGAAGTGAACCAATGATGTCAAACATTGCTGATAGGTCAAGTAAGATGCTGAGAACTCATCCTTGGATTTAATAAAGTGAATGTAACTGGTGAAAACCTGAATGGTTTGGGCTCAAGAGAGAATCAAACTGAAGAAATTAAAAACAGTTGTCTGAAGAGTTTATCTTTAAAAGGACAGGTAAATGGAAAGGGAAATGGAGTCACCGTATTTATGCTGATACAAATGCCCAGTTCACAGGGGGCAATTGATGATGTGGAGAGAGGGGAGAAAAGTCAGTGCACAAATTATTTTTGATGTGTGAGGCCAAGTTATCTTCTGAGATGGACAGAGAGGGAGGGAAGATTAAAGATTAAGAATCATCTCGATCTCATGACATATATGTTACAGATAATGGGAGAAAAATATTACCAGAGCAATCTGGCAAAACACTGTTGAAATCCTGGATCTGGTTAGAGATTGTGAAGCGTAATGATACCAGTATCATTGATTATGTGAGTCTTCTCCACTAATGTTTACCTTTTGCAGTAAGTCGTGAAGAAAACAGATTGTGGTGTTAATTCAAGAGTTATTTTTGGTAATTGGAAGGGAAAAGGGTGTTGGGAAGGTGAGAGTATGTGTTAGGTAATGATTGTACAGATTTATTATGGTGTTATAGCTAGACATGAACAGAGGTGAAGACAGTAATGAGATGATGGGTAGAGTAAAAATGAGAGGTTCACCGGAGTACACAAAATGGTAAAGTTAAAAATTTCTTGCAGCGGAGCTTGAGAAAGTGGAGAGAAAGGCCAGGTTTCCACTAGAGACTAGGATTGTTGAATTCATCATTCCCGAGGTGAAACAAGGGATGACAGCACAGCTCAAGAGGATGGCCATGAGACAAAGGGAAGGGAAAGGTGACTTGTGATAAAAAAACAAAACTCAAGGAATTTGATACCAAGACATTCTGGCATTTTTTCAGAACTGTCACAGAATCAAAGATGGGGAGAAAGATGATTATTTTGGTTCTAAAGTTTTCAGTTAAATGACAGGAAGTATGGTTTAACAGTATTATAGTTGTGAAGAAGAAACGAGGAGATGGCTTAACAACATAAATTAAATTTTCTTCTCTTTATAAAGATGGCTATTGCAGGCCAAACGAGACTCAAAGGCAGGAATGCTTGAAATTGAAACTTCATTTTGTGGCCAGTTGGTGGCGTTTTCTATACTGAATGTAGTTGGTGTTTCCCAGCAATGAGTACATACTTGAATCACCTAGAGCATTTTAAAAAGATGCCTAAACCAGTTCCTATCACCAAAAATCTTCATTTAATTGGTCTGAAGTGGGGCTTAAAGACAAGTGATTTTAACCTATAGCTAATGAGACAGCCACTTTGTACCTCGTTCTGCCATGCATTGCTGCATTTCCTCCTCCAGATACTTTGTGGTCACCCTGTTAGAAATGTCACCTGAGGGCCATAAGTACATTTGATTAGATGTCAGATAGGACTTAGTCAGGCTGTTTACTCCTCCTGCCTTGCCTTTCCAATCATTTCTTGTGTCTGAAATCTAAATCTACATCCTGGAAATTCTCTCTGCTTCCAATGGATTTCCAAAGTACTTTATAGACATTACCATAAAGTGCATTTTTTCTATGTTAAATAGCAGTTTTAATGTACACATAAATAGACTTAATGAAAATACGCACCGAGGATACTACATTTTATCTTTGAATCTCCTAAAACTCCTAACATAGTATTTTGCACTTAGAAAGTGCTTATTAAATATTTGCTGAATGAGAGTCTAATAAGTGGCATTTCCCTGTGTTAAAAGTAGTTGGCTTTTTGGATGAAATTTCATGTATTATTAAATTGTATCAAGACCTAACTTAGAGTAGCTATTTAATATATTTTCAGCTATTGTGAAACAAAATGGTAGTCAAGAAATGCTTGAATTACCTATTTTGCAACTGCAATAAATTTTGGAGATCCTTATTACATAGGTTTAGATTACAAAAAATATGCCTTTAGCTGACTAAGCCATATCTGCTTGAAGACTGTGAAAACTGATAAGCCTGAAAACCAGTCCTATCTATGAAATTATTTAACTTTTAAATTTTGGCTCAAGAATTGAAAGCTAGTTCATTCCAGGGTCCCGAGTTAAGCATCCTGAGATAATAGTTAAATACCGAGATGTCATAACTTTGGTCTTTGATGTAACGTGCTGGGATACCAGTTGCATAGGGCTTGTCTGGTAATATCAGCAATATAAAACTAATATTCTATTCCATTAAGAGCATCTCTTTTGTAAGTTTCTAATGCAATTTAAAAGAATAAATTATAAGGTTTATTTCTGATCAGAATTTTTTACATTTAATTTTACCTTGAGCCCAAATAGCTCTACATCTTTTATTTAGAGTGAAGGGCAATGCCACAGTGGCACTGTGAGAAAAGCAGTAGAGGTGAAACTAAATTCACTAGCTTTTTCTTTTTAATCCTGTTTTCAAAACTGCCTGAGGCCCTTCAGAAACACTGCTGTTTACAAGATTACCAAATTGGTGGAAAATATCGTAACTGCTATGGTGTCTCATGAACACATTCATAAAGAAAGGCAGAGCCAATTAAAAAAATAAATTCCTCATGTACTATAAGATAAATCACTGCAAGCCAACCAGTAAAAATAATAAAGCTGTCAAAACAGCATAATTTCTGTGCACAAACCAACGCATACCCAATATAATAATAGAATGAAGATCTCCTGAATAATTACCTAGTCAGAAATTAACTGTAGGGGAAAATACATTTATTTAGAGCTCAGTTAGTTCATGGAAACAAATGTCTTCTTGTAAGTTTGTAATATTTGACAAGGGGAAGATTACAGCTCAGCCATGGCCTCCAATAACTTAAAATATTTGAAGCTTTAGACCTTGCTCAGTTAAATGAGTTACCCAAATGTTCACCTTTCACAGATTGATAACCTGGCTATAGGCTAGGGCACTTGACTATCTGTAAACTGATGAATTATCAAGGCATTTAACTTGATAGATCAGGGTCTTTTGCTAAATAAATTCAAGCAAATAGGAGTCACTGAGCAAGCCGTTGGCTGGTCTAATGGGTATTTGTCAAATTCATCTCAGTCAGTAATAGGGAAGAGATGTGTTCCAATTCCATTTTGTTCATTGAGGGACAAAGTACATTCTTGAATTCTGAATGGTTGCAGAGCATTCACTTAGATAAATGAAATATAAGATCACCCGAAAGCAGAACATAGAGCTGCCTTGTAACCATGTGAGCTGTAAACATGGGCTCAAATAATATGTACCAATTTCTATTACAGGACATCACGTGTGGAGGCGCAGTAACAGGAGCATCCATGCAGATCCTTTGATTTGTGAAACCAAGGAACAGAGGTTCACCTGGTTGAGGAAGACAAGAAGTTAGGATTTGGGAGGAATCATTTTGTCTTGAAGCAAAGATTACAGAGACGCTTAGTGGAGGTTGTGCCTTAACTTCAAATCGACAGAAATATGTAGGAAGATTACAATTATTTAGAAGGGAGATTATGAGAATCAATCATGTCACAGGTATTATTTCTGGAACACAGGGAGCTTCAGATGGACCAGGAATGATGCAGTAATGCATGAGGAATACTCATAGAAACAACACGTTTATTTTGTTGGTTTATTTTCTGGAAATGAAACATAAATAGGAAAATAAGATGAGTAGAGGGCTTTACTGGGGGTAATTTAGTATGAACTAGGTAATCCAAGGTAGTTACCTTACTCTCATTTCCTATGATTAGAAAAAACGTGCAATGTTGTTTCTCGCTGCCGCTAAACCTTGCTTGTCTTCTATTCAGTGTGTCATTATCTCACTAGTATTTTCTCACTTTGCCTCTTTATATGATCAAGTGTTAAATATTCTTGTTAAATATGTTAATATTCCAGTGTTAAATATTTTCCCCACATGCCAGCAGCCAAAACTACAAAACTACCATTCTCCTGAAACTCATGCAATCCTAAATGTTACGGCTCTGGTTTCTGCCACAAATGTCTTTTTTTTTTTTTTTTTTTTTTTTTTAAGAAAAGCTAATCTATGATACTTAACCATCTTCTTGCTCACCTACACAATATTATAGTTGAAAGTGGGTTAAATGTATCTATTTCTGGCCAGTTTTGAATCAATGGCCCCATGCTAGAGATTTAAAACTCACTGATTATTTAATAAGGAAGATATTTGGAGTGACTAAGATATTTGGTCTTAGTATTACAAAAATTTGACCTGCTATCTACTCTGTCTACTTTTATGCCCTTTTAATATTAATTCAAACTATATAAAGAAGCCAGAGGGGGAACTGCTGACTCAGGAGAGACTTAGAATGCTGCTCAATGTATGTCATTTCCTCTGCTCAGCATCTCCTTCTAATCAGTTCCATGCTGGGATGGACATTATCATCTCTGAGACTGATAAAGGATAACCCACCTCCTGCTGTCTGCTTCCTCTTAATCTCCTTTTCCAGAATCAGAGAGCCTATGGAAAGCATAGTGAATGGCTTACAGGTGTCTGCAGACCAAACTGATCTCTAGAGAGAAACATCCTAATGGCTGAACCCATTCCATCATGTGCTCCTAACTGGCTCCAGTATGCCTGTTACAGTCTTTTTGCCTATTTTTTTCTCCTAACCTTTTGTGAGTAAATTTGTTTTTGTCAGATGATAGAATTCAGGACATGCTATCCCAAAAATGCAGCTCCTTGGCATTTGAAAAACAGCAGAAAGTCTCTCTAACCTTCCCTTCTCCCTCTCCCTTGAAGCAAGTCATAAAATCATTTTCTGACCTTCCTCTAAAGTAGGTTGTAGGCTTTAATTCTAGAGGTACTCTTTTTATAACACAGAGGAAAAGAACTTCCTTATTTTCTAGGACATAGAGATGCCAAAAAGAATCTGACAAACAGACCTTGCTTAGTTCCCACCAGTTTATTCCCATTACCATTAAATCATATCCTTTATCCTCCAATCATAACTTCCACAGTAACTATTCATAAAAATACATAGGTTTCGGCCGGGCGTGGTGGATCACGCCTGTAATTCCAGCACTTTGGGAGGCCGAGGCAGGCGGATCACGAGGTCAGGAGATCGAGACCATCCTGGCTAACACAGTGAAACGCCGTCTCTACTAAAAAATAGAAAAAATTACCTGGGTGTGGTGGCGGGCACCTGTAGTCCCAGCTACTTGGGAGGCTGAGGCAGGAGAATGGCATGAACCCGGGAGTCGGAGCTTGCATTGAGCCGAGATGGCATCACTGCACTCCAGCCTGGGCGACAGAGCGAGACTCCGTCTCAAAAAAAAAAAGTTTCACTGTTTCTTTGGGTCTTCTTTTCTGAAGGTGAAAGTACCTTTGCAAAATTATAATAGTAAGAAAATTATGACAGTGAAAGAGATCTGACCTAACTCACGCTGACCTTTAACCCCCAAATCTTGCCTTCAGCCTCCAAACTGCCCTTGTTCATTCCTGGGTGGAGCCCAAGCTAACTCTAGGAGGAATTTAGCTTACAGTTTAACTTTCAAACAAAGAAGATAACAGATCTTTCCTGAAACAAAACCCCTTCTTACCTAGGGACCAGACCACCACCCTTGTAAAACTAACAAATTAGCCACAAAATTTGAAATTATGATTTAGGAGTTACGCAGCCGGAGACTACAAGATTCCTGTCTCCCCAATTGCTCCTATGGATAGCATCACTACTGTAAAACCTAAGACTGGGGTTTGAGGTATTTTTCAGACCCTGCATTCTGATGGACCAGCTGGTGCCATCCAGCTAAATAATCTGGCTCAACTAGTTCTGTGATCACATCCAGGAACAGAAGACAGAAAGAAAAATCCACTTTGACCCTCACTATGATTTCACCTCTGACCTAAACAATCAGCATTACCACTCCCGAGTCCTCAAGCTGCCAAATTATCCTTAAAAAAAACTCAGTCTTAAAAGTTTCAGGGAGATCGATTTGAATAATAAAACTTCATCCTCCCATTTAGCCAGCTCTGCAGGCATTAAGCCCTTTCTCCATTGCAGTTCCCCTGTCTTGATAAATCAGCTCTACCTGGTCAGTAGGCAAGAAGAACCCGTTGGGCAGTTACAAAGGCTAACACGTTACATAAAACTTACATTAAAGAAATGTGTGTGCTTTTCTTTTATTAATCTGTCTTTGTAATAAGGGTCTCAAACATGAACCTAATGTTGGAAGAGAAAAAACAAAACAAAACAAAAAAACTCCTCTCCCTTACATGGGACATACAAAAAACAAAGATTGCAGCCACCACTTTTCAAGTCTAAAGATCACTAAATACGTTAGATCTCTACTTTACCTTTACCAACAGGTCCAGAAGGGCTGATGTTTGCTTGACAATCTTAGCACTCTGAAATGATTGTTCTTCGGTATTCCTTCTGGCTAACGGCTGGACATATTTTAACTCTATGCTTATATTGATGGTTACTTAAACTTAGTTGGTTTATTTTGTCACATAACTTATAGAATATTTTTAGTTGTTTCTCATTACTATAACTGCTGCTACCTAATTATCCATTCAGCAAATATTTATTGACTGCTTTCTCCCAAGAACCATGCTATGTATATATCCTGGGCTTAAAATGGTAAGCATATGAAGGCCCTGCCCTCTTTAAGTTTTCAATAATCAAGTTTTATAGTTTGACATGTAAATTTTACAAAATAATATGTGGAATAAGGAAAGGTACATATTGATAAGTATGCATGAATTAGCAGATGTTATGTATGGCACCTGGAGACTAGGAATGGCTTCAAGAAGAAAATGATAATTGAGCTGAACTCTGAATGGATAGTAAGAATTAAATAAGTGGAGAAGAAAAGAATGCACAAATGCTCTTCTGCAGAAGGAAGCATGAGTTATTTTAGAATTGATCAAAAGCAAGGACGGAGCAAAAAATGAAGAAATTGATAGAAATAAGGCCGTGAAGAAATCAGCCATGGGAAGATTAATAAGCCATGTTAGGAATTTAAGGCTTTGCCCTGAATCATAGTAAATCAATGAAGCTTTTTTTGTTTTTATTTTTATTTATTTATTTATTTTTATTTTTATTTATTTATTTTTGTGACAGATGGAGTCTCTCTCTGTCGCCCAGGCTGGAGTGCAGTGGCGCGATCTCGGCTCACTGTAAGCTCCACCTCCCAGTTCCCGCCATTCTCCTGCCTCAGCCTCCCAAGTACCTGGGACTACAGGTGCCCACCACTACGCCCAGCTAATTTTGTTTTTGTATTTTTAGTAGAGACGGGCTTTCACCGTGTTAGCCAAGATGGTCTCGATCTCTGGACCTCGTGATCCACCCGCCTCGGCCTCCCAAAGTGCTAGGATTACAGGCGTGAGTCACCACGCCGGGCCAAATCAACGAAGCATTTTATGCTGAATTTTGAGAACATAATCAGAAGATGATTCTGGCTATAGCATGGAGAATAGGGAAAAGAAAAGATTCAGGGTGCCCACATAGCACGCTATTGCAGTCATGAAGATTAGAGATAAAAGTAGATTAGAATAGGTTAGTGGGCATATAATTTATTAGCAAGGAAAAAAACAGATTCAAGAAACATGTAAAAAGCTATATCGATACACTGTGGATAGATTGGTTAGGGATGTGAAGGGTGTGGTGGGGGGAAATCTGTGTCGAGGATATCACCTATTTTTCTGAGTTATAATGTCATTTTCTGGGATGGGGAGCCTTGGAATGTTCAAGGGTTTTAAATAATGAATTCTGTTTTGGACATGTTGAGTTGGAGATACTATTGAAAAATTTAAGTTAAGATAAAAAGGAAAATGTTGGATATGTAGGTTGCGAGTTTAGAAAGGAGGTCTAGGCCAGGGAAAATCAAGTGTGAGCTGGCCACTTACATGTGGTAACTAAAGCTGCTCTCATTTATATTAGTGATTTATTAATATGGACTCATTTAATCCTTGTGACAATCCTATAAGAACTATTATAATTTTAAATTAAAATTTTTAAATAAAACTGAGACAAAAATAGGCTGAGTTTTTGCCATGATGGCAAAACTGATGTCAGGGCTAAATTTTGAACCAAGGAAGACTGGAAAAGGGATTAATATTCTCAATCACCATGTTATGCCACTTCTCATGAATGAGGTTTCTTACAAACAAAATGTAGATTGAATTAGGAACCTTTGATTAAACTTTTAGAAACCCTAGCATTTAAAGGCAAGAAGGTGCACTCAGAAATACAACTAAAAAGGGGAATCCAGAAAGGTAGGAAGAAAACTGGATGTGATGTCTTGAAAATTAAGGCAGAGTGTTATAAGAAGTAGAGATTGTCAAGTACTCCTTAAAGAGCAAGTAAGATAATATCTAAGGGAAAACCCAAACTTTGGGTTTAGAGACCTGTAGTTTATTGATGACTTTAATGAGGCTTTTCCTTAAATACTGGGGGCTGAGGACAGTTTGGAGGGAATTGAGAAGTCAACGGAAAGTGTGGAGGAAGAAAAGAGACAACTCTTTGCAAAACTTTGACTTGGACAACAAGAAAAGGAGGTTTATAACTGGAGTGGATGAGGAGTTATTTGTTTTGTTTTGCTTTAGTAGTAGAGATAAAAGTGTGTATAAAAGAATAAGGATGCAGTTGATAGGGAGAGGTTAACCTCCGGCACATCAATGTGCATAGTTAACACAGCTGATAGGATGTTGCATTCTCCTGAATTTTATTTTGCATCATTCACCATTCCATCTATTTTTTTTTCTGGCTTTTTCTCAACTTCCTGGCTTTTTAAAGTTAGAGCGTCCCAGAGATTAAGCCATGCACAGTTCTCTGTCTACATGTGACCCCTTAAAGGTCTCATACAACTTTTCTAACACATCCATAACTGAATTCTTAATATTTTCCACACATGCTCCACCCACATTCTTCCCTGTATCAGTACATTATTATTTCACCCTTATGTCTGTTCAGGCCGAACACTTGCTTTCTTGACTTCTTTCTTTGCCTCCAGCCCTCTTTCAATCCATCAGTAAATCCCATGGATCTAGCTTCAAAATATAACCAGAACTGTAACAGTTTATACCCCATCCACAAATACAACCCTAGTCCAAGTTGAGCTATCTCTTATTCAACTCACAGCAAAAAGTTCCTACTTTTTCTTCATGCCTCTATGTGTCCCCACACATAGCTTAAATTTGAACAAAGCAGCCAGAGTGATCCCATTAAAAAACTAGCCAAGTTATGTCACTGTTTTCTACCAAAGTAAAGTATATTTTACAGAAAGTAGAATGCATAGATGGTAAGTGTAGAGTGGGTGAGTTTTCAAAAATACACACAGTTGTGTAATTTATATCCCATGAAAAAATAAAATATTTCTATCATTTGTACCCTTTTTTGTATGCAGCTTAGTATTCCAATATAAATGCAAGGGGACCTATAGGCAGATTTTGGGAACACCTCTTCTGTGTACAGTTACCTCTAATCTGTCTTCTCAATTCGGCAAGCCTATTTTCTCTGTTTGAACTTCTCTCTTCCTTGTACCATGGCATACAAAATGCATCCATGCAGAAAGATGGAGTAACAGTGGAGCTTACCTTGCTCGTTATTTTTTCAAAGTCACAGATCTGTATTATCCAGTATCTGAAAACAATATTAGATATATTCTGTCCAAATTTTTATTATCTACAGTCAGAGGGCTCTCTGGTGTCAGACAGTTTATTATGACTGGAAGTGGAAGACATTTCATGTCATTCTTGACATAAGTTGATACCTCACCATTTTGTAGGCCACATATAGTCTCTATATATTACATATACTCAATTATCTTCTTTTAATATTTGTTGACCTATGTTAGTACTTACTTTGGTACATGGGCTTTTGGTAAATAGACTTGCTGCTTGTACTTTGACCCAGTTATTCACTCATGCTTGTCTCATGACACTTAGCTCATTTGAGTAGCTAGTTATATGTGCTTGCGTTATCCTTCATACAAGGCTGTAAACTTTTCAATTGTAGAAAGCAGCATTCTATAAATATTTATGGGATTGAACTGAAAATATCAGAGAACCAAGTGAATAAGAATGAATTTTGATGATTATGATTTTATGGCGAACCGTAGACCCAAGAGATGAAGAAGCTATTTAATTTTTAATTACTTTTGGGATGTTGTGGGTATCTAATACATATTTATTGGCTAACAGGCAGGACAGGCTCCACAATAAGGAACCCATAACCATTGAGTTAAATATCCAGAAATTTTTAGTTTTTGCTAACATTCTATTTCTGTCTTCACAACTAAATCCCATCTAATACTCTCTCTTCCAAAGAGAGTCAAGATGAAAATGACCCTCCTATTTTTGCCATGAATGACCTCACTGAGTTAATTCAATAGAAAGAACAATTATAAAACCACTTGCTGTTGTTATTTCTTGTTATTTTATCTGTATGCAAAATCCTGTTTGCCATAGAGGGACTTAACTGGAAGTGAGTAGTATGTGCAAGGACAGACCATTTAAATTGCTTTCTCAAATGGGTTAGGAAATTGTACAAAAACAAATAAAACTTATACATTAATGAGAAGCAGAATAGAAGGAAATTGATTTTCTGACTGTTGATCCTAAGCAGCTACTCATAAATTTAACAAAGTGGTCTTTGGGGCAACCTATACAATTGATTCTGTAACTCTACTATCTATACTGTAAATACATGAAAGAAATCAAATCAATGCTCAAATCTAGTGAAGTGTCACAAAGTGAAGTTATCTGTAGGTTTGCTTTTATGTGGCTTTACTCCATGGTTAATTTTGTAGTATTATTGGTTAAACTATTAGTCAGTCCCTTTAATGCTTGTATTACTTCATGTCAAATGCTAACATTTTATTTTATTTTTACAATACTGGCCAGGCAGATAGTATTGTCATAATAAATACATCCGCCTCCCAGCTTTAGAGGTTGCAAAGAATATTTTAGGAATGGATAACAAAGCTTTGCAAATGAATGCTTTCTTAAAAATAGCAGTGTTTGGGACATCTTGGAAGCTATAATGCAAGAAATATGTATAGTGCCATTGGCTATACACATAAGCTTTGTTCCATTCTGGTGTGGAAATAAATGAATAAATATTGAAATTACATTTCTCCAGAAGTGCATTTTATTTATAATGCATACTCCTCCTCAGGCCACTGTCCTTTAAGAAACAGAATAATATATAGTTCTCTTGTGTTGAGGCTGTTCTAAGCCTCCTGACACTACTAAACTATTTACAATTTTTAAAAGATAAGAGTTAATCTGACAGATAACACCTAAAGGCCTATTTAAGCAATAAGAAGGGGCATGCTTTAGGAAAAACTGGCATAGCTATGGCTAAATATCTCAAAATTTCTTCTGATGTTCTGACATTGAATTGAAACTTTCTTAAAGCTAACTTTTTTTGATTAAGTTTACATTGTTATCAATGCAGGATTATAAAGGGCATTGACTTTGTGTTGTTTTCTAGAAAATTAAACAGAAATAGAATTTTTAATAGGTGATTTTGTTATTAATGTTATCATAAAACTAACCTAACGTGGTTATGTCTTAGAAAGGTCAAGAAGTTAATGCCTACAAAACCAAATGCTGAAAATCCCATGGGGAAGGAAAAAATGAAGAAGCAAATGCGCTTTCTCAATATGAGAACCTCATTAACATTGAGTAGTGATTTCTACATGTTGGGGAAATGACAAGGAACAGATGTGGAGATGAACAAACCGAAGCACCTAAATGTCAAATTCTAGCAAAGTAAGTCAGTGGTTCACAATCCTACTGTTAAAATCATTCAGGAAGTCTTTTTAAAAATACCTATAGAGCAACACCTTCCCAACCCTACTCTGTTCTGATTTAATTGTTCTAGGTCCAGTTAAGGCATCCCTAGGCCTTAAAATCCCTTCAGGTGATGCTAATGACCTACCAGGTTAAAGAAGCACCGAAGTGAATCTGTTTGATGAAAATGCAATTTCTGAAACTAGGACAAAAAATTAGAAAACAATTTTGCTATCTCTATATATGTATGTATGTATGTATGCATGTAGGTATGTATGTGAATCAGACAGAGTGAGTATCAGTTTTCTTTTTTCATAGTTGAAATATTCGGACTGATTCTGGACTCCTCATTTTTTCTGATTTTCTTTGTAGACGCAATGTGAAAATGAAGAATTCAAATATCTGACTGCCGTCAATGGTCAACGAATTATAGAGCAATGTGTCAAGCTAACCCCAAATTACAAAGGACTAGGATTCAGTGTGTCTATTACAGCCCCTTTGTTAAGTCTTTCTGCTTGGTGAAGCTCTTGTAGAAAAGAAATTACTCGCAATATTGAGATGTGTTGTTCATGTCGATTTATGGGATAACAAATTAGTAGAGAATTATTGTTTTATTTTTATTTTTCATTTATTTGCACTTTTGCATGCAAAAACAAACAAACAAAAAAATCCAGCACACATAATGTAGGTTGAGGTGATGCTGTAATAGAATTTCCCAACTAAAGTACTTGCATAATAGCACCACCATTTAATTGGGCAGATTATTGGGGAGAGATTCAGTATGCTTATTTCTGTGATAGTTAAAAATGAGGAAAGAGACTTTTGACTGACATATAAAAGAAAATAATAAACTTCAGTAGCACATCAATTGTTTTGTACAGCCAAGGTTTGTTTTTTAATAATGCTTATATGGTGAGAATTGGTGCTTGCTGGGCTATGATGTTCACTTTAGGCTGCCTTCTTTCTCTAGTACACCTCTTAAATAAGCTATTCTTACCTCTGTATAGACAAGCAAAACTTGTCCTGCTTTGTTACCAAGTTTACCTTAAAGGCAGTTGGCAAAAGAGAAAGTGAATGTCATCCAACACTGTGCTACTTGATGGTTATTTATTTGACATGTTTATATTTCTCCCCAGGCATGCCAATTAAGATAGTTCATCTGCCTGTGTTAGAAAATTGACTTAGAATGGGCCGCTAAAACCAACCACAATGCCCAAGGTCATTGTCTAATAGAGTAACTTGTCCAATTACAGAGTAAGTTGCAGAAACAATGGAGAAAACATAATAAAAA
This sequence comes from Homo sapiens, assembly GCF_000001405.40. Classification (NCBI taxonomy): domain Eukaryota; kingdom Metazoa; phylum Chordata; class Mammalia; order Primates; family Hominidae; genus Homo; species Homo sapiens. The sequence goes on along the minus strand of NC_000003.12, from coordinate 81,161,836 downwards.
TACTTTAATTAGCGCTGTCTCACTAATAGGCTAACTCCTTCCCACGGTGTCTGGACAATAAGATTTAGCTAATCTTTTCATTTCTTCAGGGTAAAGTGTTGTCAGAATCATTATTGTGAGAAGGGCTAGCAGGTGTCTCAAGGCTGCCCATCACACATCTACAAAGTGTTTGTAGCAGGAGCTAGTCTAAACAATCGTAATCTATTAATCTATTATCAACCATAATCTTCACAACAATCTGATAAGGTAGAAATTAGTAGTGCCCCCATTTTATAGGTAAGTAAACATATTGAGGTAAGATCAGAAAGAAATGATAGTTCAGTTATTTTGGAACTTGAAATAGCTGATTTCAGACGGAGAAAAAATCATTTGCTAAGTATTTATAATTGTAGTGGATTGAATTGTGTCTCCCAAAAAGATATGTTCAAGTCTTAAATCCTAGTACCCAGGAATGTGTTCTTGTTTTAAAATAGAATATTTGCATATGCAATCAAGCTAAAATGAGGTCATATTGGATTAGGGTGTGCCGTACATCCAATGACTGATGTTTTACAAGATTAAAAGGGAGAATTTGGAGACAGAAACACAGACACACACAGAGGGAAGATGACCGTGCTAAGATAGAGGCAGAAATTGAAACGATTCAGCTAAGGAATGCAGGAAGCTAGAAAGAGACAAGGAAGGATTCTTCCCTAGGGTTTTCAGAAAGATTATGGCCCTGTTGACAACTGGATCTCAGATTTCTAACCTCAAGAAATTTGAGAAGATAAATTTCTGTTGTTTTAATAGACCTGATTTATAACAATTTGTTATGGCAGCACTGGGAAATTAATACAATCTTATTGTTATGTAGCATTTTAAAAAAGTTAATTATGTGTACACCAAGACAAGGAATTACACGTTATATCCATCTTCCTTCCTTTACTCCTCCTTAGTGTTTTCCTTCCTGTCTTTCTTCCTCCCTTTTTTTTGATTTTAGAATCAGAACATTCTCCCCCATGAAATCTGAATATATATGAAATCTACTTACTGATTTATGTCCTTAGTATTTCAGTGTCTCCCTGATAGAGTGACCAAAAGATTCTGTAAACCTATGCACAATACAGTAAACTGTTGTTGGGTTACACCTCCCTGGGCTGATAATCAGAGCCCTTTTAAGGTAATTATTATTAGATTGGGAAATCTTGACATTTCCCCTTTCCTCATCACTCTGCTGCTATAGCAATGGCAATATGGTGACCAATTCTTGCCATGGCCCATTTCATTTCGTTTGGTAGCTCAGAACCAAGACGATAGGCTAAAAACATGGTGCAGAGTATGGAATTACAACATCACAACTTCACACTCAGATGCTAGATAAAAAAACATGGTCCAATTGTTTCCTGTATCCTTTCTGTTTATCTTCCAACTGCAAGTGATCTAATATTATTCAATCTAAGTTATCACCATAATACCTAAGGCCAAGAAAACATCTTAAGCCCTTTTATTTTACTTTTATTTTCACATGTGCGCTGGTAAATGTTTTGTCCCTGACAATAGTACCTATGTAAATCTTTCAATTTGAGGCATTGTATTTCCCTATAATCCCACTATCAAGGGGCCGGTTGAAGGTGTCCAAATTCTTCTGGTTCTCCACTCCCTTACTGAGTTCATTGTTTTTCTTAATCCTACTTCACTTTTCTACCCTTACTCTTTCTAACGCAAAAAATTCCCTCAGCATTCAAATAAGCTCACATCATTCAGACTTTTGACATCGTTCTTTCTCAGATTTGAATTATTTTTCCTTTGAGTAGATTTTCTTATTTCTCAGAAGAGTCTTCCACATGAGATGCCTACTCTACTTACTGCTAATTCACTTCTCAATCCCTTTTCACCACACACTGAAACTGCTCCCCTAGCATCATCTCTTCATTCCTCTTCATCTCTGCCTCTCCTGTAGGGTTTCTTTCGTGGCTTTTATCCTCCTCTGTCTGTATCGCATATCTGTCTTGGAATACAGTGAAGTTAAGTTGCAAAGAAGGTATTGTGAGAGAGATAGGGAGCATAAAAGGACTCTTGATTTGGAGACAGCAAGTGGAAAAAGAGGGTTTAAACCTGAGTATATTTTCCCCTAGTGACCTCAGAAGGTGGCGTTCTTTTGTGACCCTGAGACTGTCAGTCACTGTATTCATACCTTTTGAGTTTGCAGTGATAAGTTAAATAGAAGAGGCACACCTAAAATCCTACCTCTACCCTTTCACATGTGTTTGCAGCAATGACCGTGTGTGTGTGTGTGTGTGTGTGTGTGTGTGTGTGTGTAATGCACGATGTGGTAATTAGTTTTCAATAACAGAATGTATTGAAACATTTTAAAAATATTTCACTCTATATTTTTTATCTTGGAGAAATCATGTAATCTTATGATTTAAAGTACTACCTGCAACCTGATAAGTCCAAAATAAGTCTTTAGCCTACTTCTTCCTTCCGATCTATCAACTATAATAGCTTTTATGATACAACAACCTGACTAGGCTTCAATTTCAGGTTATTCAATCAAACTTATACTAGGTGCTACTGTGAAGGGATTTGACAGATATAATCAAAGTCCCCAATCAGTCGAATTTAAGTAAAAGAGACTGGATAAACTGCATGGGCCTGATTTAATCATCTAGATGGATTAAAAGCATGAACTTGTGAAAAAGAGAGTGGGGAATTTCGATCGATTTTGAACTTGCTTTGCTAGCTACAATCCTTTAAATCATGTAAGCCAATTTATTATAATAAATCTCTCTCTGTGTCTGTCTGGATATTGATATATTATTGAATTTTCCAAAATTATCCAGTTATTGATTTCTACGTTCATACCATTGTGCTCAGAAACAACAGTTAATATAATTTTAGTCTTAAACTTGTTCACACTTGTTTTGTGTCCTATATGGTCTATGCTGGATCATGTTCCATGTGCACTAGAGAAGAATGTGTATCTACCATTATTGATGAAAAATTTTCTTTATATCTGTTAGGTTCGTTTTGTCTAAAGTACAGTTCAATTCCAGTATTTCGTTGTTAATTTTCTCTCTGGTTGATCTTCCCATTGTTGCAAGCAGGGTATTGAAGTTCTCTACTATTATTGCATTGCTGTCTATTTTTTCCTTTATGTCCACTAATATTTGCATAATACATTTAGGTGCTCCAATTTTGGGGGCGTATGCATATATATTTAAAATTGTTATGTCCTCTTGATAAGCTGAGCCCTTTATCATTAAATAATTGCATTCTTTGCTTTTTTTACGGTTTTGACATAAAGAATATTGTATCTGATGTAAAAATAGCCACTTCTGCTCTCTTTTGGTTATCATTTGCATGAAGTATATTATTTCATCCCTTCACATTTAGCCTATGTGTGCCCTTAAGGTTAAAATGTGTTTCTTATAAGCAGCATGTATTTGGATCGTGTTTCTTAATTCATTAAGCCACTTGATGTCTTTTGATTGGAGAATTTAATCTATTTACATTCCAAGTAATTAGTGATAATTAAGGATTTACTACTGCACTGCCATTTTGTTGTTTTCTCGTTATTTTATAGATCCTTGGTTTCTTTCTCTCTTGTTTTTTATCTTTGTAATTTGGTGATTCTCTGTAATACTGTTTTAATTCTTTTCTCTTTATCATTTGTGTCTCTACTATAGTTTGTGCATCATGATTACCATGAGGGTTACATATAACATCTTATAATAATAATAGGATATTTTACCCTGATAACAACTTAACTTTAGTTGCATTCAAAACCTGGACATTTATCCTCCCCCCACCCACCCACAATTTTTTCTTTTTTGATTTAAACATTTACATCTTTTTATATTATGTATTTTTCAACAACTTATTGTAGCTGTCATTATTTTGACTATTTTGACTTTTAACCTTCAATCTATCTGTCTGTCTTCTATCATCTATGTATCTCTATATTTATGATTTACAGAGCACCATATTGGTATTAGAGTAGTCTGGATATGAAAAAATATTTACCTTTTATTTTATATGTTTTCATATTAGTAATTAGCATTATTTTGTTTTTACTTGAAGGATTCTTATGGACATTTCTTGTAAGACAGGTGTAGTGGTGTTGAATTTTCTCAATTTTTGCTTATCTGGGAAAGAGTTTATTTCCCTTTCACTTTTGAAGGATAGCATTCCTAGGTATAATATTCTTGACTGGCAGATTATTTTTTTTCTTTTAGCACTTGAAATATATCATCCCATTCTCTTCTGGTTTGTAAGATTTCTGCTGAGAAATACACTGAAATTCTAATGAATTCCCATGTATATGACTTGACACTTTTCTGTTGCTGCTTTTAAAATTTTCTCTTGGTCTTTGATTTTGACAGTTTAATTATAAAGTGCCTTAGGAAGGACATATTCCAGTTAAATCTTTTTGGGGATCACTGAGCTTCATGGATCTGGATGTCCATGTCTCTTTCAAGACTTGTGAATTTTTTTTTTTTTTTTTTTTGAGACGGAGTCTCGCTCTGTCACCCAGCTGGAGTGCAGTGGCACGATCTCAGCTCACTGCAACCTCTGCTTCCCGGGTTCAAGCGATTCTCCTGCCTCAGCCTCCTGAGTAGCTGGGACTACAGGCACACACCACCATGCCCTGCTACTTTTTGTGTTTTTAGTAGCGACAAGGTTTCACCATGTTAGCCAGGATAGTCTCTATCTCTTGACCTTGTGATCTGCCTGCCTCGGCCTCCCAAAGTGCTGGGATTACAGGCATGGTCCACCAGGCCTGGCCGACTTGGGAAATTTTTAACAATAGTTTGTCCAATAAGCTTTCTGTCCCTATCTTTGTTTCTTTTTCTTCTTTACCTCTAATATTGTGAATGTTTGTTTGCTTAGTGGGTTCCCTAAGTCCCAAAGGCTGTCCTCACTCTTTTTTCTTTTTTTCTTTTTTTTTCACTCTGACTGGGTAATTTTTAGAAATGTGTCTCCAAGTTCAGAGATTCTTTTGTTTGATTTAGTCTCTTGTTGAAGCTCTCCATTATGTATTTTTATTTTTCTCATTGAATTCTTCAGCTCCAAGATTTCAGTTTGGTTATTTCTTATGATAATTATTTCTTTGTTGAATTTCTCATTCAGATCATGAATTGTTTTCCTGATTTTGATTGTCTATCTGTATTATCTTATATTTTGGTGAGTTTCCGTAAGATCATTTTTTAAATTTCTTCTCAGGCTAGGGGTGTCAGTTACCAGAGAATTATTGTGTTCCTTTGGTGGTGCCATGTTTTCTTGCTCTTTCTTGTTTCCTGTGTCCCTGCATTGGTGTCTGCATATCTGATGAAACAATAATCCCTTTCAAAGTTTACAGAGTATATTTCTCAGGGAAAATCTTGCACCTGTAGGTGGATCTTAGTTTGCCAGTTGAAAAAGGTGTGGTGGCTCTGATTCTGAGTGGATGCAGTTGTATATTTTCAATACAGGTTCTTCAGCTGCAATTTACATCAGTGATGACTATGGGTGTCTTAGTGGCCTAGACTGTAGGAGTTTGTGGCCAGAGTGGTGGCAGCATGGGTTGTTATGGTCCTTGGTGAAACGGGCTTTTGGAGTCCTCCTGTTTTCATTTTCCTCACAATGTGAAGTATTAGTTGAAAGGACTCTTCTTGGTGTTGAGTCTGACACAGTTTACAAGCAGTTGCAGCAATGATGAGTTCCAGGGCACAGGTGCTCAGAGCAGCTCTGAAGACAGGGTCTTGGGTTGTTGGTCTTATGAAACTATTTTGCCATCTGGGTCTTGGTGTGAAAGTTTACTCTTTAAGGCAGGGTTGGATGGAGATTGCCCAAAAAGGTTTACTCTTTAAGGCAGAGTTGGATGGAGATTGCTCACAAAGCCAGCATCTGTGATGCTGAGGCACCCCCTGGTAGCTGGGTTGCTGTGACTCGAAACCTGGGAGGCAGGGCACAACACCGGCTTAGCTTTGGGAAAGAAGGGATGCTTTGGACGTTTATTCATGGGGAGCAGGATGTGGCTGCAACTTGGGAACCAGAGCCAATAGGGCACAGTGGCAACTCAGGTCTGGCGAAGGAGGAAACACGTTGTGGTGACTCTGGACTCGGGGATGGTGGGAAACAGCAGTATCCTGGACACTGTGAAGCGAGGTATAGTGGTAGCAAAAATCCCAGGATGTTGGAGTATAGCTATTGCTTGGTCCCTAGTGGGCACAGAGAAGCACAGCCATACTTCTGTTTCCCTAGGGAGATGGGTATCTCATCAGCTCAGATTTTAAGGGGTTAGCCTAATTCCAGGGAAGTGGGGTACTACAGTTTTTGACCTATGGGACTGTGTGTCTCAGCTCAGTTGATGCTCTGTTTCCCTGAGACACAAGGTACTACATCAGCTCATCTCTGGGATGGGCACCAATTCCCTGATAGGTTATGCTTAGTTTCAGCTCAGACCTTGGGGGCATTGCTGCTCTGAGAGGGCAAGGCACTAATTTCCCAAAATGCAGGGAGCTGCTTTAGCTCAGGTATTGAGGGACATGACTGTTCTGGGAAGCCGAGGCACTATTTCTCTGAGAGACAGGATGCTGCCTCACTGTAGGCACTGGGGAGTGTGACTGCTCCAGGCGGCCAAGACACCACTTCCCTTTATCTCAGGTCCTGAGTGTCAGGGTGTAGCAGTTACTGGATGGTGTAGATGGAGCAGCTGCGTGGCAGCTTGGACCCATGAAGACGGGTGTAGAGCAGTTCTGCTTAGGAATGGTGGGCTCCCAAGCAGTTGTGTTTCAGCAGCAGCAAAGCTCAGGGGTGGGAAGATAATGTGGTTACTCACTCGACAGTGCAGAACACACTTCAGTGTGGTCCCGTTGCCAACATGGCATAGCACAGTAGTTCCGTGGGTCATAGGGGTCAGGGAACAGCATCAGCTCCATCCACGGTTTGGGGGTAGGGAGGTAGCACAGCTGTGTTGACTTCAAGCAGCTCTCTCAGCTAGGCTTAGTACCTGTGAGAACTGCAGGAGTCCCCAGTGGTGAAAACTGTAAGTGTCCAAGGGAGTTATGAGAGTTCCCGTTGAGCTCTTGCTTACCTTTTCCCCAGAGGGAGAAGTCGCTCCTGGCTCTGAACTGATCCCAACTGTGGAACAGGATGGCACAGGTAAAGGGTTTCCTCCTAGTCTCCATGTGGCCATCTTGAATTTCTGTGCACCATAGGGTTTCTGTAAATCCTTTGGTGTACTCTGACTCTCTCCTTTTGTTATTTTCACCAAAATGTAGTTGTTCATTGATTGTTTTGGTTATCTTTGTTGGAGGAGACAAGTGCCAGAGGCTTTTATTCAGTCATCTTGCTGACATCACTCTCTTCAACACCTCAATTCCTTTTCAAATTTATAATTTTTACATTGCCTTTTCCCCCATTGTAATGTAAATCTTGCTTTCCCACTGACTTTCACCTCAATTTTCAAACTTATTAAGGTATCCTCTATCCAAAAACGTTAACATTTCTGACCTGCTTTCTTGTTAAATTACTGCCATATTTTTTTTTCTTCTTTTTTCCAGGAAAGTTATTGAATGATTTTTCTGTACTTACAGCCTCAATTTTCTGTGATTGCTTCCATTTCTCAACCAACTGCCATCTAGACCTCTGGTTGATTTGGTTCTTCTGCAAAATGACATTTCCAAAATACCTGGCCAAAATAAACATCAAAATAAAAATAGCAGCTGGCATTTATGTTAATCATTTCCTCCTTTTTGTTGGTCTCATTATTTGATTCTGTATCCTCAGTGCTTTTTTTTTTTTAGTTTTCTTCTTACTTCTTATGAGCGCTGCTTAGTCACTCTCCAAAGTCCCTTTCCTTGCTTTTTCTTATTAGCTTTCACCCAATATTTCACATTCGTGTTCATTATTTTGAAATGTATATCTCTAAACATGAATTGCTTCTGTTTTCCAGATAATTTTTAATTGATAACAAGACATTTTCAGTGTAATTCCTACTAGAAACAAACTTATGTACCTGAGACTGAAATTACTATCTTCTCTATTAAACCGGATTTTTCATGTATTCTCTCCTCAGGTGATATATATCTATCAGATGGTAAATCTTGAAAACAACTTTGGCTTATTCTGCTTTATTTGTGCAGCTTCCAATGATTAACTAAGTACTATTAACCCCCATCTAAAAGGTTTTTCAAATGGGTTTCTTTTTCTTTCTCTTCTTCCTCTTCTCTCCCCCACTCCCCCAACTGCTAAAGTTCAAGTCCCATCATTTCTTGCCTGTATTAGCACAATAACCTTTTAACGTGATATCCCATGATAGAGTCTAAATTTCACATTGACCGTATTCACTCTGAAGTTAGCACTATAATTGTACTTATTTTAAAATATTGTCATATCTTAATGTTTATTCCACCAAACTTCAATTTACTTCATATTCTTAAAACACAGCACAAGGTCAACTACTCTTTGCTGATATTCAATAATCATTTATTTGGTTGTAGTGACTTAGGTATTAAATGGGAAATCAGAGGTTTAGTTTTTAGTTAGTGTAATTCCAAAGTTCATTTTCTTTGTATTAAATCAAAATAAAAAATTGTATCAGAGTGTTAGAAAGAAATTTTCAGGCACTCTCTGGGAAAGAGTAAATATTTAACCGATTTACAGTTCCTTTCACAACTTGAAAGCTCTATAATGAGAAATGAAGTTCAGAATGGTAACACTGATGTTAATAATAATAGCAAATATTTTTAACCCCCACACAGAGAATATTGAACTTTACCTTATGCCATTTTATCTATAACATAGCTCTATGTGGTAAGTAACAGTGCATCATTTATGGCAAAAATTTCTAGCTATTCAATAAATAAATTTTTGTTCTTTCTAGCCACTTAACCAAACAAAGTCGCAACCTACTTACAGTTAGGTGTGATCAAGTAATTAAATTTTAGCCAATGGAATAATGAACAGAAGTGGTTTGTGATTGACAGAAACAACTTCCATGCTTGATCCTGCATGCTCTTTTCTTCTCTCAAATAACTGCAGAGCAGCATTCACACAACATTGGTAGTTAGAAATTGAAGATCATTCCTCTACCAACTCAGGTTTCACACTTCTCCCTACTATCCATTCCTGGATGACTAGGAACATTTGTTTTAGACTTTTACTGAGTAAGAAATATAAGTATAGTATATAAGCTTAGATACGAAGTGAAGAGTGAAGCCTCAATTTGAACCCATATTTGTTCAAGGGTAGAAGTCATGACTCAACAGTAGTACTTTGACACGCAAGGAAAAAAAAAACAAACTAATACATATTTTCAAATATTTTTCAAAGTTAGATTTTAAAAATAGAACCAGTGAGTTCTATTTTCAACCTTCTCTTAACCAGAAAATTACTTGGAAGTAAACAATCCGACAAAAAAATTTCAGTTAGTCAACATTGTCCTATGATCTTTACATGCTGCTAAGTTATCATGGGTATAAGGGAATTGCTAGCACATCCTCTTTCTAAGGTTGCTAAAGTGATTCGTTATCTTGCCCTTGCTAAGTCACCACACAAGAATTTGCTAAAATTCTTCTATGAGGAGAAGGTAAACCAATGATCCTGTTTTTTGTTTTTTTCTTCTTTAATGAAATCAAGTTAACTTTATTTTCCATTCAAATCTCTAATTCCTCTTACTGATTTCTTTGGATATGTTTGTGAATTGACACAAAATTTTAAGAAAATTTTATAGTTTTAGCAGGGAAAAGCTTTAAGGAAAAACTGTTTTTAAAACATCATTAAATGGGCATAGTTACATTGATATCCAACCACTGTCTGACTAGCTCTCTTAGACCAAATTTATATTTTGATCAGATTTCAAAACAAATATTCAAGTTAAAATATATTAGCTAGCAATATTAGAGACAGAGACTTTTAATTTACCTGAGATGTAGGAAACGACGTCTTAGCTTGGCTTTTCTTTTGTTTTTACATGTTACTTTTAACTGATACTCGCTTCTTAAAAGGAGTTATTTGGAGACGGTATATAGCAGATAATATTTTCATTAGTGTGTCAAGGATGGAAATATTCATTTTGGAGAGTAGTCAGACAAGTTTTTCTTCTCCCCTACATAACGGAAATATGTGCTTACTACTAATTCTACCGTCTACCTCAAGTTGGGGGAACACTTGGATTTGTTTTTTTTTTCTGGAGATTAAGGCACATTTCTGGAGAGAAATCCAATATTAACTGAGAGTCCTTATCAAAGTCAGGATGACTAATTATATACATAAATAGCTTTTATTATATTCTGTAATAAAATGCCCCCCCCGAATTTTTTTTCTAGGAATTACCATCAAATATAACAGAAAGTAGATTATCTAGTTTCTGCACATACAAAGTAGACCATCCTATTTCTGCATCCCATGTGTGCAGCTGTCTAAGTGCAGTGTGGTGGTTCATGCCTGTTATGCCAGAACTTTGGGAGGCCAAGGCAGGAGGATGGCTTGAGGCCAGGAGTTTGAGACCAGCCTGGGCAACATAGTGAGACCCCATCTGTGCAAAAAAAAAAAAAAAGAAAGAAAGAAAAAGAAAAAGAAAGAAAGAAAGAAAAAGAAAAAAAAGAAAGAAAAAAATTGCCAGGTGTGGTGGCTTGCACTTGTAGTCCTAGCTACAAGGGAGGCTGGAGCCAGAGAATTGCTTGAGCCCAGGAGTTTGAGGTTACAGTGACCCAGGATAGTGCCACTGCACTCCAACCTGGGAGACAAAGCAAGAACCTGTCTCTAAATAAAATAAAATAAAATAAGTAATTATTTAATGTTTTGCATTAAATATTCTTATATGAAAAATAACTAGAAGCTATGTTTTATGTTTATGTTTTTAAAAGGTCATCTTTAAGCAAATAATTTTTCTCCCACCGCAAAAGGTCAAAGCTCATATATTTGCTATATGATCGCTAGTTCATGTTATTTCTTGATGAAAGTGGTACTCCCTGAAAACTTTGGCATGCTTGTCTGTAGAATATCAAATGCTACCACCTGTTTAATCAATAGTTTTGATTTAGGGGAGAAGAAATATAGAATTAGATTGTGATTGTGTTTGTCCATAAAAATGTTCACTTATCATTAAAAGTTTATGATTTCTGTTTTATATCTCTTCTAACAAAACTTTGGTTAGAGAACTTTCAAAAAGAGTTTTTCATTTAATTAATTATTTTTTAGAGACAGGTTCTAGGCTGAACTCAAAGTTCAGGTGATACTTGAGCTAGGCTCAAGTGATCCTTCCACCTCAGCCTCTTGAGTAGCTGGTACCACAGGCGTGTGCCATGGTGCCAGGCTCCTAAAGGACTTTTGTTAATAATTCTTTGCAAATGTATTCTATACTTCAAACCTAGTGAGAAACTTGGATTAGCATTATCAGTTGGTAGTGTGGTTCTCAGTATCCTTCAGTGCATTTTAGTTGTTCTAAATATCGCTTAAAGCCTAGCTCATCACAAAAATGTGAAAAATATGATTACGTTTTTTATTTCTCTCCTATGATGACAAAACAAATTCCTAACTGATGGTATAAAGTCTATTATTTTCTTTGTAAATACACATGTTCAGAAAAATCTTTGTTTCAAAGTTAATTTATTTTGTTATTTTTAGAAAGGAGAAAAACCTGGAAAAACTGTGAATTCTAATTACATATAATATTAATTGTAAAGAATTGTAAAGAATCAATTTCTTCATTCTCCAAAAGTAGACTTGTGTATAATATTGCTATTTCTAAGTAAGTTTGAAAAACAAAAACAGCCAAAAGTTCAGTGTTTAAATATCAATTATTAACATGAGTATTATTTCCAATAAATTGCACTTTTAAAAAAATATTCAGATTCCAGGCTAATTATGCTCTTCTAACTCATTACCCTAGGACTTTCTTTCTTGTTCTTATTATCTATTTTAAAATTAACAGTGGTGAAAGTAAAATATAATATGGAAGGTATATTCTATTAAAGTAAAAATATCAAACATTCTAAAGTCACATAAATGTAGGTACTCAACTATAAAAATTTTTGAAAATGTGCTTTGCTTCTTTAATATAAATGAATACTTCTTTTCTGTGAATCATTTTTAAAGCATTGATATTTCATATTAGCATTGGCCTTCTATTTTCTGGCCTTCCGAAAAGACTTTACATCCAAACTGACTGGGTTTCAATTGTTATTACCTTTAAGAAGACATTATTTCATCTCATTCTATTTTGTGTCTAGAAGTTCCAGGAAAAACATGAAAAAAAATAGCTTATTCATCTACCTTCAAATAGGTGACTCACATAGGTGATGAGCCTACAGGAACATATGATTGTGCTTTCCAAAATAATTTTCTTCTAATATTGCTTCTTTTATATCATGACTATTTTCAACTTTTAAAGACATTCCTTATATAAATGACTTTTCAAAAAGACATTCTTATACTTTGTAGGAGCAATTAACTTCCTGCTCAATGTCTGTTTTAAAAATAAATTTTTCAAGTATTTATTTCCAGGCATTTAATAAAAACTCTTCACTTTATTAAAAAAATTCAAGATATGGCAGGGCGTGGTGGCTCACGCCTGTAATCCCAGCACTTTGGGAGGACGAGGCGGGCAGATCACGAGGTCAGGAGATCAGGACCATCCTAGCTAACACGGTGAAACCCCGTCTCTACTAAAAAATACAAAAAATTAGCCGGGTGTGGTGGCGGGTGCCTGTAGTCCCAGGTACTCGGGAGGCTGAGGAAGGAGAATGATGTGAACCCGGAAGGTGGAGCTTGCAGTGAGCCGAGATTGCGCCACTGCACTCCAGCCTGGGCGACAGGGTGAAACTCCATCTCAAAAAAAAAAAAAAAAAAAAAAAAAAAATTCAAGATATGTAGAAAGTCCAACTTAACGTTGTCCAAGAAAACATTCTGCAATGCTGGAATTGTTTACATCTTCACTGTCCCATATTGTAGCTTACTGTAACATGGACCTAGTGATTACTTGAAATTTTTTTTGCAATTGAGAAGCTGAATTTTAAATTTAATTTAATTTTTATTATTTTAAATGTTAATAGTTTTGATTATTAAAATGGTGACTACCATATAGGATAGCGCAGATACAAAACCTTACATCAACTATTTGACATTCCTGTTTTTCCTGATATTTTCCTAAAACTATGCAGATAGTTTTATTAGCATATAAAACAATATTGAAGGGAATACAACTGTCAGCACTATTATTTTAAAAATTGGTCAGAGTTTGAACTATATAGTATGAAAACTTAAAATACTTTTTCTTCAATATCAAAGTTCTATTTTCAAGTAAGTGACTCAAATGATGAAGAGCCTACAAGGACACATATAATTATGTAACCCAAAATAATTTTCTCCCATAATTGTTTCTTTTATATGATCACTACTTTCAACTTTTAATGACATTCCCTTTATAAATAAATGATTTTTCACAAAGACATCCTTTACACTTTACTTTCTAGGACCAATTGACTTCTTGCTGAATGACTGCTTTTAAAAATACATTTTTCAAGTATTTATTTCAAGGCTTTTAATGATGAAGTCTTCACTTGATTAAAATACATGTTTCATTTGTTGGTATTTTGAGAATGACAGGCATGATTTTATACAGCTAAAATAATTTATAAAACCTGTCACAAAATTGAGACATGTATTATTGTGTATGTAAGGAAATTCCAATCACAAAATTGTCCCAAAGTGCCTGTGAACTGTGGGCGGAGTAATTGGCATGCTGTTATTTTGAACATATTCCCCAAATTAGCGATTGATTGTTATCTTAGACTTAATAAAAGAATTTAAATTTTCATTTTCAGAGTTTTAAAACTGTATTATCTTTTATGGCTTATTGTAGTCATGTTATATGTACTATTGCTACACTATTTTATCTCAGTGATAAATTTTAAAGTTTCTATTTCTGTAAGATAGAAACACAAGAAAAAGAAAATAAACTGACACAAAGTTGAAAAATATAAAGAATCACTGTTTTTAGTCATATTAAAGATACTTATCAGATAAAGAATTGCTATTTTTAGTCATGGTAAATATACTTTGATGATTTTATTTGCCTAAGGAAATAAAGTTGAGTCTAACATTGGAAGAATTTATATGTCCTATTTTAAAGAATGTACCTTAAGGACCAGCACACAAGTATGTAAACTACTTTATATATGTATTATTTAGGACACGGATTAGCTAAAAAATATTTTAAAATGTTAGAAATAAACTTGCATATATTGTGCATAAGAGGCATTAGAAATACTGGATTTTGTACTGTTGCCCCATGCTGTGAGTGTAATTTTAGATAGTTTAATAGATTTCTTTTAGCACTCAGGCTAAATCTTTCATATTTAATTCTACAACAAGAAATAAAAAATTGCTCACTGCTGTAAAATATCATACTTTTACAGTTAGATGTATTAGCATTAATAAAGAAAAAGTAGTCATTGATTCAGAAAAGTTAATCATATTAAGTTAAACACACTGATATTTTTAAATAATTGTATTCACAAGTTTATATTAATTTTTTCTAATTAAAAACATACAATATGCAATCCTAGGCAAAGGTCAGTCTTATTTTAATTATTTTCCCCACTTAATTAGACATTTATTTCTCTGCAGATGGGAGTTTGCAAGATTCAAATACTTAGTATTCAAAGGTCATGTATTAAACCCAAGTGAAGGGCATTATATATTAACTTATATTACTATTATAGGATATATGTATATATGTGTATCTATAAGGTGAAACAAGAGAATAAATTTACTTAAAGCATTGTAAAAAAATAGACATTTTAATACTGGGTTTTTTCCTTTCACTTATGCCTCTATTTTAAACGGGCATTAAGTAAAAGCAAATACAGAGAGAGAATGGTCAAACCAGTGTCAAAAGTGATAAAAAATGATATATATAAAATATGCCTTAAATAGATATATAACATATACATATATATGATTTTGATGTATATTATACACGTGATTTTTGAGCTATCCCATCTATGCTTGTTACCTGTAGAACCTGGAATTACATACTTGCAAATTTACTTTCAACATCTGAAAGATTTATCACAATGTGAAATTTGTGTTCAAATGGTCAGAATAT
The DNA here is from genome assembly GCF_000001405.40 of Homo sapiens. Lineage (NCBI taxonomy): Eukaryota > Metazoa > Chordata > Mammalia > Primates > Hominidae > Homo > Homo sapiens. The sequence goes on along the minus strand of NC_000003.12, from coordinate 81,146,760 downwards.
ACAGTACGAAGTCTCAAGTTTCTCCAGTGATGTTCGATCAATCTTATCTTGAATCCAGTGTTTTAGATACAGTGTATTGTGGAGAAGATTGACTATAATGTAGCATTAGAAAGCAAAACTCTACCTTTTGTTTTAAAAGTTAAAACCATTCAAAGACAGCACCAAGAGGAAGGGAGGCATTTTACAAGCATTGTTGTCAAAGGGCCGTGGAAAAAGCCAGTAAATAGTGGAGGCAGATGCTGAAAGAAGAATCCCAAATCTAAACGAGAGAGTAGAAAATGTGCCTCATTAGAAGTACACAGGAGGAAAACAAAAAGGGAAAGAAAGAGAAGGTCAACACCTTGGGAGAATAGAATTGGATTCAGTTGACTTTGATAAATTGAAGAAGTTATGAGAAACAAATGGAACTGACATTCAATAGGAGCAAGTATGGTATAATGCAATTAAGACAGAGAAAGGGGTTGCATGAAAACAATGAGCAGTAAGAGATTGAGGTGTGTAACATTCATCGCATTCTCAAGCAGGAAAGGGAAAGTGGAGGCCATTTTGCAAAGGAGTAAACAGGTGTAGGGAGCCTTCACAACTCACCAGTGGAAGAACTAAGATTATAATTATGTCTAATCTATTCGCTTAATAATTTCCCCTGATCACTATGCTGTCTTGGAATCTAACAGGAAATGGTCTAAGGAATCATAATTGATTAACAGAACTGACTCCACTCCTCAACATCCAATCCAAGAGCAAATCTTTCAGCACCACTAAACATGTATTCTAAATGTCTTTACTTCTCTTATTTCTGGTACTTCTGTACCACTGCAAGACACCATCACCTCACTCTGCCCTGATGTCTGTTTTTCAGACAGCAGATTAAGTGGTTTCTCCGCCTGATATCCTTTGTTTATAAAACCTGCAGTGGGCTTAATGGCATTAGAATAAAAAACAAACCTCTGGACATTGCCAATTGTTCTTTATATGATCAGTTCCCTTCCTCCCCCAACACTGCCTGTCTACATATGCATCAGCTTTCTTTCTTTTTCTAGAAGTTGTGTTTGCATTTTCCTCACAATGAAGTGTTTTCTGTTCCCTAACTAAAAAGGCTTGAGATGACATGAGGAATATCCAGTGTGGCCAAGGAGTCTAATACCATCTTATATTATTACATTTTGATGAAAAAGTTCAGGTTTGGTGTGGAAAATAATGTACTCGTATGTTTTTAAAATGTTGAAAATTGAAAATAAACATACTAGCCATCACATTCCCTATGTAACTCAGCTAACTTGTGAGTGACTGAGAAGAAAGGGCAGTTTCTTTTCCCAGTATGAATGCATCTGTATTCAAGGTCATATTTTGTTTGAGCTTTGTCACTTTTCACATGAAATTAATTTTTCTTTGCTGACTATTGTCATCATAATTGGATATCCACTCCATGGAAAGCAATTCTTTGATGTTCCAGTCAGATCTCTGCATTTAAATAAAAAATTAACAGAGCAGAAAACAGAAGAAAAACGTGTACACTGAAGAGGTGTTGCGTGCTGCCTTTGACTCTGGGTGAGCATATGTTCTGCAGAGGTAGAGTCAGCTCACTGATGTCTACCATTCCCTCTGTTTGGTGCCGAAGGTAGCAATTATCAGGAACCATTTATTTTTTCTACCTCATACTATTTCTTTGCTTAAACTCTCAAAGCTTTGGAAACTGTTCAAGAAAGGACAGGTCCAGGGAAGCTGAGAGATACTCATTATGTAAGCAAAGTAGTTCATTAAACGTAAGCTGAATGTAAGACTGTGACTGCGGGCAGCAGTCTGGTCATGCTTTGCCACAGCCAGGTTATTTTAAAGTTGGTATAAATTAAGTAAGTTCTTTTTATGGCAGTATCTTCTGGGATCAGGCATATTTCAAGAGGGCAGGAAAATAATTAATTTTGGACTCTTAAATATTCAGTACCTGTGAACACTGTGTTGGAACAATTTATAGAAAACAATCTGTTTATGATTTTCAGTTGGATGGGTGAGAAATATCAACTATAGTTCTAATAATTGTCAGCAATAGAGTCAAACAGATAATAAATATGCATTTTGAAAAAAGTTTCAGGGAGAAAACTCTTCTTTTCTTTTTTGTTTTATGAATGACAAGGTGTCATCTTGCTTAGTCTGTGTCATGCCAGAGTACAGCTAGATATGAAACACTGTGTCAAGTTTGGGATGAAAAATAATAGTGATAACTATTCTACTTAGTTTGCATAATCTATTTAGGTAAACCAGTTAAAATTATTTAATTCCAAATATTCAAAATGTTTAAACTATAATTTTGTTTTTATTTTGCTCAGTTTTCCAACATTTTTATATATTTTGTTATATTTTTGTAATCATTATTAAATATTCTAGGCAAATATTATTTTAATTTTTTATTTTATAAGGGTATAATTGATAAAGATTGTATAACTTATACAACATGGTGTTTTGATATAAATATACATTGTGAAATGTTTAAATCAAGCTAGTCAACATATGCGTCCTCTCACATACTTAACATTTTTTTGTTTTTGCCGTCAAAATGTTTAACATCTATTCTCTTAGCAATTTCCAAGTATAAAGTATGTAATTATTAACTATAGTTACTATGCTGTACAATAGAGCTGCAGAATTTATTCATCCTAACTAAAACTTTGTACACTTTGACCAACTTCTCTCAATCTCCCAGTCTTTCCTAGACCCTGGCAACCACTATTCTACCCTCTGCTTCTATGAGCTTGACATTTTAGATTCCACATGTAAGTGAGATCATGCATTTATTTGTCTTTCTGTATCTGGCTTATTTCACTTACCAGTGTTTTTTGGATTCATCCATAATGTCATTCATGGTAGAATTCCTTTCATTGTTAAAGCTAAATGCTATTCTATTGCACATATACAGTATTTTCTTTAACCATCCTTTTGCTGATAGGCACTTAGGTTGATCCCATATCTTGGCTACTGTGAATAATGCTGCAATGAACATGGGAGTGCCATCTCTTTGACATAATGATTACATTTTCTTTGGATATGACCCAGAAGTCAGATTGCTGGGTCCTATAATGATTCTGTTTTAATGTTTTGATGAACTTCCACACTGTTTCCCAAATTGGCTGTACAAATTTACATCCCTATCATCAGTGTACAAGTGTTCTCTTCTCTCCATATATTCACCAACTGCTATCTTTTGTCTTTTTGTTAATGGCTATTGTAACAAGTGTGGAGGTAGATCTTTTTGTGGCTTTAATTTATACTTTCCTGATGATTAGTGATGTTAAGTACTTTTTCATGTATCTGGTGAGCATTGGTATGACTGTTTTGAGAAATGACTATGATTTTATGCTTGGAGGGAACATTAGATATAATTTAGCACCTTATTTCCCAAATTGAATTCTGTAAAATCTCAAAATTTATGAGCACAAATTTTAAAAAATTGTCTGAATGTTTTAGATATTTGGAATTGAGCCGTTTAAACTGATTTATCTAAGGCATGACTCCACAGATTTACTACCATCATGCTCATCAGATTAGCAACAATTTCTAAGTTGATTTGCCATTGTACTGCCAGTAACATCTTGAGAGACCCAGTTTTTCTTTAAATTAAAACTCAGTCAGTAAAATATTGCTAAATTACAAAGCTTTTGCTGTACAGCAAAGGAAGTGAGGTCCAGGGAGGTTAATCGGCTGAGCCAAAGACAAAGAGGGAATTACTGACAGTACCACGTTTTTTGGTTTTAGATCGCTAGTATTTCCACTACACTCCTTTTTTTTTTTTTTTTTTTTTTTTTTTTTTTGTCAATTCAGATGACCAGCACTATTGCCATTAACCTTAAATACCATGCTACCAGGTGGGAAGAAGCATCAACATGAGTTAACCCTTCAAAGAGTTTTTGGACAGAAGGGCAGATGTGCTTGTCAGCTGCCTTGGGTGTTCGCTCAGATGCATCTCTAGTAAGTATCTTCTGCAAGGTTATGTGCAGAGAAAAATTTAGCTTCTATGGCAAATTCAAAACACGTCTCCCTATACTCTTTCTATGTATATGCACACACATACACACAAACCTGCAAAAAGGTGGAACATATGAGTTTCTCAACAACTGACACAAGACCATTAAGAAGAATCTACAGAAAATTTCAGACACATTCTTTTACTCTGAAATACTGATTATTTATTGTTAGGGACCATACACAAGTTTGAAATATCTACATTTTTCTACAATGGCATATACCAGAGTTAGATCCACCAGCTTGAGTGTTTTGCTGATATTTTATATTGTTCATTTAGAGATGGGAAATTTGATTATTATTTTATTGTATCAACAAGATTATACATTTTGTATGTGTATGACAAAAGCTGTATCTGTGTGTATATATATATACATACATACCTTTTTACCAATGATTCTCGATTCATTTATTTTTTGCATATTTTGAAATCATGCTTCTGGTTAAGTGATGATTTTCTAAGTACAAGGCAATATTAAAAAGACCCTCTTCTTTGTGTGATTAAGTCACACCATTAATTCAGTCTGATAGTTGTTCTGGTGTAGAAATTAATATGATAATTTTTATGTAGCATTAAGTTCTTATAAATAATTACTAATTTTCTTCCTGAAACTATTATTAATTTTTTAGTCATGGACTATTCTTTACTATTTAAATTTGTGTGGTTCTGTCAAAGTGTTTTATAAGAAGTGACTTTATGGTCAAGATATCTCAATGGTATGGCTTATTAAATTATTTTTTATTTAAAGCTTTTATGTTGCAAAAGTAACACACAGGAAAGACATAAAACGATTTAAACTGTATAAGGAAAAGGCCAATCTTATGGCCCTGTCTTCACCAACCCCAGTGCCATGATGCTAGTCTTGGATGTGCTTCTGCTTTCTCAGTGCTGATTTAAAACATCAGTATTTAATGCATACACTTTCCTATTTTCTCTATGCATACCCACATGCTTATAATTTTATATAAATGAGATCATATCACACACACTAAAGGATTACGAACAGTTTTAGTTTTTCTTAAATGCTTGCCCTGTTTCTTCTCTCCAGTCAACATACTCACAAGAATAATGCATGTTAATAGATCCTTTCATTTTATTTCTGTGCTCTGTATTCTTATTTCCCTTTCCTTCCTTGCCTCCCTCCCTCCCTTTTTCTTTTTCTTTCTTTCTTTCTTTCTTTCTTTCTTTCTTTCTTTCTTTCTTTCTTTCTTTCTTTCTTTCTTTCTTTCTTTCTTTCTCTTTCTTTCTTTCCTTCCTTCCTTCCTTCCTTCCTTCCTTCCTTCCTTCCTTCCTTCTTTCTTTCTTTCTTTCTTTCTCTTTTTCTTTCTTCTCTTTTTCTTTCTTTCCTTTTTAGTATTTCAATTACAAATTTTCATGCCTGTTAAACTACTCATGAGAGAAGCTGAAAAGTTCTAGGCAAATGCACTTATGAGTGTATGACAGTGTTCTTTTAGTCTGCATAAAGATTAAGGTAATTTACAGTCAATCTGTGAATGAATGTTGAGAAAATGTTACATTATGTTGTATGTACAATTAAATATTCTTAAAGAGATAACCAGAATAAGTTTTTCTATATTTTCAGCAAAACTGCCTGACCTGCCCTTTTGCTGGATGTTCATCAAAGATGCTGTAAAATTCTATACAATTAGGAAATACACAGTTTTAAAAGTATGTTCTTATCTTCGCTGTTTTGATTACAGGTGTTCTGCTCAGATAATCTATTGCAGTATGTTTCTATAAATGCTCTATATTCTTTCTTTCTCTTCCTTTTTCTTTTTTTCCTCACTTATTCCCCCCCTTTCTCTTTCTTTCCTTCCTTCTTCCCTTCTCCCTTTCTTTTTCTTTCTTCCTCCCTTCTTTATTCCTTCCTTCCTCCCTCCCTCCCTTCCTTCCTTTCTTCCTTCCTTCCTTCCTCATTCTCCCTCCCTTCCTTCCTTCCTTCCTTTTTTCCATCCTTCGTGTCTCTCTCTCACTCTCTCATTGTTTCCTTCCTTCCTTCTTTCTTCATTTCATTTAGTGATGGCTATAGAACTATCATCTATATGTTTACTTGTTATTGTCTTTAAACCTCTTTTAAATTTATTTAACCCTTCGATAAATCAATACCTACCTTCTGTATCTTCAGATGACAAGTGGCTTCTCACTGATTTTTCTTTATCTAGAAATCTTTAGCATTTATTACTTCCTTTGTTTTACATTGCTTATTGTTTTGTTTGCAATTCCTAAAGAGCATTGGTTATTTTTATCTTAGCAATATTACCATTATGCAAGATTAAAAAGGGATTGTTTGCATGGAGAAAATGTAAAAACTTATACTCTCATTCGCACCTGTTTGAACCAATTTTTCTTTTTATGATGTTTTTGTGGTCATATGTGATGTCTCTTATTGATAGTAACAAAAGCCTTAATAAAGTTATCATGCTCAGTTTTATTTGTATAATAATTTATTAAAATATCTGAAAAGCAATTTTTTTTAGTATAACATTTAAAAAATTGTTGTTGGTCAATAAATCTTTATTGATTGTACGTTACTGGGGTAGAATATAATATATATAGACTGGTGATCCAAGTGATACTAATTTCATAATCTCTACCTCGCCTTGCAAAATAAAGAGTTATTTAACTACTATAGACTAAACATTTGCCCTTTAACATGTAATTTAGCTTCTCTCAGAAGAGTTTGCCAGGAATATCATTATTTAATGTTATAAACTGAAAATAAAATCATAGTGATTTATCAAAAGCCAACAAATGTCTTAAGCAATGTCTAATGCTAGCTGTATAAGAGAAGTTAACTTTAGAGCCATGTAGTAAGAAAAGCTTTGTTTACCTGAGACGCTGGAGTGTGGTCCATTGACAATGAACATTTTTGTAACTGGCAGTATTTTTCTTCCTGTTTGATCAACAGGGAGCTAAGATCCAAAGTGTGGATCAATTCTAGCAGGTGTGTTGAGGTTTTGGTCTTATGTATTTGCATACTGTGATTCCTTTCATCTTACAGCGCTGACATATCTCAATGCCCATTTTGACTTTAAATTTAGAGTTAATTTTATACATTTCTTGCTGTTGAGTTTTTCCCATATGTTGTGGAATTAGACCAGCCATGCAGCCATGAAAACAACTAAATAGGTAAGTAAAGTAGATAATGAAAAGCAAAAATAAAGATAAAATGTGTCTTACCTACAAATTATACTTTATTATATTTATTAAAGAAAACTTTAAGGATGTATTAAGAATTGAAATCTCTTAGAATAAAAGATTGAGTGCATATCTTTGATCCTCAGTTGGGTTGCTGCTGTCAGATTGCTGGTGAGATACCTGACAGGAATGGGACACAGATATTTGCCTGGATATGTGCTATGGATAAAGCCTAAATTCAGCATGCTAGATTTGCTGGAAAATTACTATGAAACAAACACATTTAAAAAATCATCTACCACCATTTCACTGGTTTTGTTGTGGCTGTTCTTTTCTATTGGGATATGCATAACTCATGTCTGTATATTTCTGTCTAATAGAGACATTGTGAGAGTAAAAATAAAATAAATCATATGTTTCCAGATTTTATTAATCTCTATGCTAGGTACTTTTATCTTCATAGATTCTGAACTATCTATTCATCCTTTACTATTGAGTAAGGATGATCTTTCTAAATTCCAATTTAAATCATGTTATTTTCTGCTTAAAATTATTTATGGCACATCCTCATACATAACTTAAAATCTAAATTTATTTGCTTGGTACAATGTCCTTCATTAGCTGGTACTTGCCACTTGTCTGGATTAATTTCCTAAAACTCTCCAACAAAAGTCATATTTCAACAATAATATATCATGTGCCATTCTCAATACAGAACACTTTTTGTCTTTCTTTACAAGAAAAAGTCATTTTATTTTCTAGAAATATCCTTTGCTGTACAAGTAGATGTACTCCTCCTTAGATTCTAGGAAGAGCCTTACCTGAATTTATCAAAAAGCGTTAAAAGTTGTCTGTCCTTTCTCTTACCATAATTCTATGTACAGTGCTGGGGAATGGTTAATAATCCAAACATCTGTCACTCCACTCTTATATTATTATGAAGGAGCTTTAGTCTCCTTGCCTTTCTTGAGTTCTTTGTTCAAAGTTACAGTAGACATTAGTGTATTGTACAAAGTTTCTAGTTTCCTTGAATATGGACACATATAAAGCAAATATTCTCTGAAAAGAGAATATTGCCTTGATTAGAAATGAGTGTGAGGGACGAGAGGAAATGATAATGAGAAGATGGGCTAGAACACATCCTCCATGCACAGAACATTATACAGCAAGTTAAGGTACATGAAAATTTGCTATTATTGGTATCCCTTCAGGAGGAATAGAAAGTGAGCAGAAGAGACCTTGTACAAAATCAAGGAAGCCAGAATTAAAAGGAATAAAAATCAACATGGGCATTTTGATTTTTATTTTTGTAGCATGGACCTACCAACCTTGAACATGGTTTCGATGCAATGACCCGGAAAAAATAATAACAAATGGCTTAGACGCCAGGAAGCTTGGATCTAAAAGTATGGAATTTCTTGGCAGGGAGAGGTGGTCCTATAATTGGGGAAATGCAACAGGTGAGGGCCTCAGCCTACCTCTATAATAGTGCTTTTTTTTTTGTATTAAAAATCAATAGTTTGTCTTCTCCTTATGTAACTCCATAAGGGTGCCTTGATTATTTTTAGATTATTAGAATATAGCATAATATTGAAATGTTGAAAGAATGTATTAATGACTGAGAGAATGAATAAATGAATAAATATATTGCACTCGTACTTGTTTCTGCCAGCGGAGGGGAAAAATAGTGTTTGGTAGGCACTGAAGTACTAGTGAGTATTTGATTACTAGGTTACACTACATAAGGGATATGGATCTAATACATATAAGCAGAGTTGAGTTGAGCATAGCAAAGAATAATAACCAAGATAACATAAAATAGATATTTTGTATTATCAATAAATAGTTACATCTTTATCAATTCAAATGGTATTTAGGATTTCTGCAAAGCTTGAAACATGGCTACTATTGAAAATCTGTTATGTTACTTGGAAGAGAAAATTCAACTTAGTTATTAGATGTGGGACTGATCATTTAGCTTCATCATTCTGAGCAGGGTGCCTGAACAAAATCCCTTTACTCGTGGTACACAAACTACTTCTGCAAAAAAACCACATCGGGAATAAAACTGTTTTGTTATTGGCCACATTAATTTCCCTGTAGAATCTCAGACAACTTTGTGTATTTTCCTATATATGATCGGCATTTTTCAGTCATCTCAAACTGTGCTTGTAAATTCAGACCTTTTACTGAAAGCATTAATTTGGATGAAAACGATGATGTTTTTAATATGATACGTATGTAAACCTGTTAGTAGAAAGCCACTCTGTAACCACAATGCTAACTTTCGATTAAAATAGCATCTTTTTTAGTTAGAGAATTACATAATTTAGTAAGAGAATTACATAATTCTCTTACTATGTAATCTATTGTAAAACTTTCTAAATAGTTTACCTTAGTCATATGTTTTGAGTGTTTATGCTAAGCAGGAAAATGTTAATATTAAAACTAAGCACAGATTATAACTTCTGCAATACATAAATCTGGAAACACAGGAACTGTTATTCTGTCGACCACTCTATAACAGTAATTAATGCCTATTTCACAAAGATTCTCTTTTTGAAATAAAAATTAACATTTAAAATGGTTTCATCCACAGGTTCCGAATTTCTTTATTTGAATTTTGCTGAGAATCAAGAGCAGTACAATTTACCTTTATTCAAACTAACACAGAAACAGAAAACCAAACACCTCATGTTCTAAGTGGGAGCTGAAGGATGAAAACACATGGACACATTAGGGGGAACAACACTTTCTGGGGCCTGTGGTGGGGGTGAGGGGGTGGGAGGGCACCAGGAAGAATAGCTAATGGGTGCTGGGCCTGATACCTGGGTGATGGGTTGATCTGTGCAGCAAAACACCATGGCACATATTTACCTATGTAACAAACCTGCACATCCTGCACATGTACCTCAGAACTTAAAAGTTGAAGAAAAAATTATTACTTGTTATGCCTCTTCTTTGGGTTGAAATATTTTTGCTTTCATTTTTCTTTAAAATCCTTATTTTGAAGTATCCAAACATACACTGCATTAGGCACAATATTTAATAACCAAATCTGTACTGATAACTTTTATTTAACAACTGTTAACATTTGGACTTAATTTGTTACATTTTTGGCTGATCTATTGATGACTAATGTTATCATGGCATTTTGGCCTCAAAAATTACAGTACACATTTACAATAAACATAAATATTCCCTGTTTAACTATAATATTAACTCATCTAAAAGTTAATAATATTTTCCTAAATTTATTGAATATATACTCTATATTCAGATGTTACCAATTGTCTAGCAAATATTTTTAGCTGTTTTTATTTTAAACTGTTTGTTAAAACCAGCATCTAAACATGCTGAAGTTATGTCCCTTAAATTTCCTTTAATCCAGAATGGTTTTAACATGGAATTGTTTAATGGTAGTTACTAAGATTTTGTAAGTAGGACTGTTTTGGGATGGCAGATCTACCCTTCCTCTTGTTAGGGTGGTTGAAGGTTGTAGTAGCTGTGGAAAGTGTCATTCAGACCTCCTTTACACAAAGGACCTGCTGTGAATATATACTTAACTAACAATCTCTAGTTACCATACATTCAGGATTTACTTTAGCTTTCACTAAAGGCCTTACTCTCCTTAGGCAGCTCTGAGCAAATCTCTCATATATCCAACTCTTGGCAACTACTTGGAGGACTCAAAAGAATTTTTTAAAAAAGTGGTCTAGGAAATGTAGAAAACCCTTTTCACATTCATTCAGATTTCCCTTTTTATTAGAAGTATAGCATAGCAGGCTGGGAATGGTGGCTCATGCCTGTAATCCCAGCTCTTTGGGAGGTCAAGGCGGGTGGATCACTTGAGGTCAGGAGTTCGAGACCACCCTGGCCAACATGGAAAAACCCTGTGTCTACTAAAAATACAAAAATAGCTGGGTGTGGTGATGTGGGCCTGTAATCTCAGCTACTCAGCAGGCTGAGGCATAAGAATTGCTTGAACACAGGAGGCAGAGATTGCAGGGAGCTGAGATTGCATCACTGCACTTCAGCCTGGGCAACAGAGTGAGACTCTGTAAAAAAAACAAAACAAAACAAAACAAAACAAAAACCCTCTGTACAGTATAGCAAGAACAATCAGAAAAATGTATGTGTGTGTATATATATATATATATATATGAATATAGATAGATAGATACATAATGTCCTCCATTTTTATTACCACAACACATTGGAGTGATAGATAATGGTTTTGTTAATTATTCTCAAAAGTGGATTAAAGTCTCCCCTCCAACAAAGGATTTTATGTCCATCTCCACTCCCACTATTACAAATTGCTGACAAACACTAAACATTTAGCACTAAAATATTGAATAATATTCCTTGCTGCTCTCAGGGGAAAGACATTTTTAATTGTGAAATTAGGGCTCTTTATAATCTACTGACAGTCATTATAATATGTTCATGAGAGTGAAAGTATGTAAAATTGTTATTTAAGCTTCCATTTTTTAATAAAAATACAAAATTTAGGAGATTCAAATGTTCTTTGATTCCTGTATTTATTCAATAAGCTTGTATTTAATTCCTGGATTGGGACAGATTTGAAGTTGAGTAATATCTGTTTCAATTCTAAAGTTGTTCAATGGAACAAATAAGCATTAAAAATGCCATTATTCGGCTGGGTGCGGTGACTTACAGCTGTAATCCCAACACTTTGGGAGGCCAAGGCAGGTGGATCGCCTGAAGCCAAGAGTCCGAGACCAGCCTGACCAACATAGTGAAACCCCGTCTGTACTAAAAATACAAAAATTAGCCATTCGTGGTGGCAGATGTCTGTAATCTCAGCTACTCGGGAGGCTGAGGCAGGAAAATCGCTTGAACTCAGGAGGCAGAGGTTGCAGTGAGCCAAGATCACGCCATTGCACTCCAGTCTGGGCGACGCAGTGAGATTCCGTCTCAAAAAAAAAAAAAAAATGCCCTTATTTAAGAGGAAAACTGTTTCAAGTGCTAAAAAGAGGAATAAAGAATAAGCTTTAGCAGCTTGGAGGAAGGGTATATTAGTTATAACTAGATCAGGGAAAGCATCCAGCTTTGCTGGTGAACTATGTAGCTGCTTTAATGTGTCCCCAACACTGAAGGCCCCAGTAAGTCACTGCAGCCTGGATTCTATGGAAACCAAACCACCCAAAAGAAAATTTAAAATTGAATTAAGGTGGATAAAATTGTTGAATCGTGTAGTGAACACACAGCAACCTAAACAAAAGAGGGTATTATGTTTTTCACAATAATTCCATGTTACTTTTTGGCTGAAGTTTCCAAAATAAAAGCAGCAATTAGATAACAAATAGAAGTTTCTTTTTTTAAAAAAAGAGTTGTACCTTCATAAAAGAAGTGGTATTTCGGTGGATCATCTGTTTATTGTCCAAAATTCAATGTACTGTTCTTATTGTAGCAGTAAGGCCTGACCCACATGGCCAGAACACAAAATATGGCTGTTAACTGTTACCAAAAATTGAAGCACTTTTCCTGGGAAACAGAGATTAGCCTTTACAGATTTGGCCTTGCCTGTGTAAACCTACGAATCAAGAGGGAACGTCTCACTCCGGGCAATTAGTTTTTACAATGGAACAGTAAATAGGCCCTAATTAATGACTTTTTGTAATTATTCTACTGTATGTGGACATTTACTGGTGTTCAGGCATTAACTGTGACATCAACGTGGTTGCCTGTCAGTAAAAAGACCATTTTGTTCTTAATTATGTATTTCAGGGACTCATATATCTCATAGCTCTCAAAATCACTTCAACTAGCCTCTAAGTCTTTCAATGGACTATAAAGTCTGAAGGAAGAGGTCTCTTTTGACTTCTTCCTCCCTTATCAATTTTAATCTCTTATATCATATTCATACAACTTCCTCTCCCCTACTCAACTCCTAAAAATGCTTATACATAAAGTATAGGACCATGCTGTGCCACACGGAAACTACTAGCCACATGTGGTGATTCAAAGGTAAATTTTGTAAAATTAAATACAATTGCAAGTTTGTTTTTTAGTCAGACTAATTATATCTTAAGTGTTCAATAACCACATAGTGGCTAACTACAGTATGTGCATATGTAGGGTATTTTCATCATCACAGAAAGTTCTACTGGACATCAAGGCATACAGACAAAGCTCCATGAAGTCTTGGTTTTTGTCTATTTCTTTCACTGATATATCTCTGGAGTTTAGAATATTGCTAGGCAAAGGGTACATGCTCAAGAACTATTGGTTCATTGAATAAATGACTATTCCCTTTCCCCTATGTTTGAATTTGTTTTGGGATTGCACCTAGAGACACAAACTTCAGGAACGCATGAAGTCACATAAAGAGCACTTTATCACAGAGATAAAAATGTGCAATGGGGTACTTACACATTGAGCTCTCTTCTGTATCTAAAGTACCACAGAGAATGCACTAATTAGGTTTGATAAAATGAATGCTTCCAGGAAAAGATGGTATGCATTATTTTACCAATTATGACAGACACACAAGAATGAAAGGTCACAAAACATTGGCTATGAAAAAAAGTTGGGCTGAGATTTTATCCAACTATATCAAAGAACAATGATCATACTTTAGAAACATTCTTGAGAAACATTAAATTGTTTCTAAAAGACAATAAAAATAATTTAATTGATCAAGATTAAAACAATTATTAGAAAGAGAGAAGAATAAAATTGACCAGAAAAAGAGAGGCTGTTCAAGAAATGATGTTCTAGACTGATATATTTCTCTCTCTCTCTCTGTTACACACATACACACACACACACACACAGAGCTTTACAACCAAAATATTTGTTTTTCTTTTATTCCTTAAACTTGAATGCCAGTTGCAAATAATAATAGTAACAACCATACATACAGTAAAGTAATTGGAGTAAAATGGCGAAAGCAGAACAAATTTGTAAACAATAATCAAAAGGCTAAGATATGTTTAAAATTTAATGACATAGAATAAAAATTTAAATGAGTTTCAAATCAAGAAGGTAACATTTATAAAATGACAAAATAATACGATTTCAGTTATTCAATGAAAACCAATAGCTTCCAATTATTGTTTGAGAATGTGATTAGACTTTTTTTATTATGTGCCCAAAGAAAAATTATTTAGAAACATTGTGATCTCCATTAATCAATTAAAGTATCTTTATATTAGGTTTGTTCAAAAATTACTGCGTTTTTGCCGTTAAAAGTATTGCAAAAACAACTATTACTTTTGCACTAACCTAATATTTAAGAAAAAGTTTAAATAAGATCCTTTATTTACATATCACATAAAAATGCATAATATTAGCAGGTGATAGGTTAATTAAAAAAAATTCTAAATAATAACTAGCCCAAATTCAAATGTTGCAGGATTTAAAAATGAGGGTTCCACAAATAAGGTTTAGGGAAATGCCTAGCTTTTATTTAAAATCAGAGTGAACAATAGCCTAAGTTTAGAAGCCAGGAATTGATATCTGTCAACATTAATGGTATAGGCTTATAAGAGCTGCACTGGAAGTGTAAATTGTCTGCAAGACTTCTGTAATGTCTGCTCTCATTTCTCTTTTTAACTCAATTTATCAAATAGTTACTGAAAACCTACTTGGTTCTAGGAGCTGTGTTGTGTTTTGGGGACCCAACATTATACGAGATGAATTACATGGTCCTTGTCCTTAAGAAGCTTAAAATTTATAGAGGAAGACAGATAATTCAACTTATGCTTATGACGATTGTGCTATGAAACTGTATAAGGTGGATAAAACGAGTGATGTGATGTGAAGTCTAAAATAATAGTTTATTCCATTTTTCTATTTGCACACATTTATGGGGTACAAGGGAAGCTTTCTGAAATGCCTTCAAGGCATTTTCCCCATTGTCTTGGTTATTAACATTCAGCTCCTCTTTATTGTGCAAATTTCTGCAGCCAGCTTGAATTCCTCCCCAGAAAAGTTGATTTTTCTTTTCTACCACATGGTCAGGCTACAAATTTTCTAAACTTTTATGCTCTGCTTCCTTGTTAAATATAAGTTCCAGCTTCAGATAATCTCTTTGCTCATGCACATGGCCATATGCTATTAGAAACAGGCAGGCTACTTCTTGAACATGTTGCTACTTGGAAATTTCTTCTACCAGATACCCTGAATCATCACTCTCGATTTCAAAGTTCCACAGATATCTAGAGCAGGGCCACAATGCTGCTAGTCTTTTTGCTAAAGCATAGCAAGAGGGACCTATAATCCAGTTCCCAATAAGTTTCTCATTTTCATCTGAGACCACCTTCAGCCTGGATTTCATTGACCACGTCACTATCAGTATTCTGGTCACAACAATTTAAAACATCTCTAGGAAGTTTCAAACTTTTCCTCATCTTCCTGTCTTCTTCTGAGCCCTCTAAACTGTACCAACCTCTGTCTGTTACCCAGTTCCATAGTTGCTTCCAAATTTTCAGATATCTTATAAAGATATAAAGATAGGCAATGCCTCACCCTCAGTACCAATTTTCTGTATTAGTCCATTCTCATATTACCATAAAGAACTACCTGAGACTGCATTTTATGAAGAAAAGAGGTTTAATTGGCTCATAGTTCTGCAGGCTGTATAGGAATCGTGGTTGGGAGGCCTCAGGGAATTTACAATCATGGCAAAAGGCAAAGAGGCAGGAGTTGTGTCTTACATGGCTGGAGCAGGAGGAAGAAAGTGAAGGGGGAAGTGCCGCACACTTTTAAATAACCATATCTCCTGAGAACTCACTATCATGAGAACAGCAAGGGAAAAATCCACCGCCATGATCCAGTCACCTCCCACCAAGCCTCTCCTTCAACACTGAGCATTACAATTTGACATGAGGTTTGAGTGTGGACACAAAATCAAATCATGTCAGTTCATGTGTCTGTTTTTACACTAGTGTCATGCTGTTTTGGTTACTACAGCCCAGCCTTGTAATGTATTTAGAAGTTACATAATGTCATGCCTCCAGCCTTGTGTTTTTGCTTAGAATTGCTTTGGCTATTTTGGCTTTTTTTTTCAGTTCCATACAAATTATAGGAATAAGTTTTAATAATTCTGTCAAGAATGACATTGGTATTTTGATAAGGATTGCATTGAATCTATTGATTTCTTTCAGCAATATGGCCATTTTAAAGACAATAAAGACAATAATTATTCAGATCTTTGAGCATGACATGTTTTTTCTTTTTTCATGTGTTATCTTCAATTTATCTCATCAGTGTTTTGTGATTTTCCTTATAGAGATCTTTCACATTTATTTATTTATGTATTTATTTAGGTTTATTTATTTATTTATTGTTATTGTAACTGGTATTGACTTCTTGATTTCTTTCTCAGCTAGATCCTTATTGGTATATAGAAACATTACTGATTTTGTATCTTTATTTTATATCCTGCAACTGTAATAAATTTGTTGATTAATTCTGAGAATATTTTGGTGGAGTCTTTAGGCTTTCTAAATATAAGATCATATCATTGCAAAGAGGGACAATTTGACTTTCTCTTTTCCAACCTGAATATCTTCTATTTCTTTATCTTACGTGATTGCTCTGGCTAGGACTCTCAGTGCACACTTTGTTGAATAGCAGTGGTGAGAGTGAGCGTAACTTCTTGGTCCAGTTCTTAAAAGAGAAGACTTCCAACTTTTCTGGATTCAGTATAAAATTAGCTCTTGGCTTGTCTTATAAGCCTTTATTATTTGGAGGTATGTTTCTTCCATGCCTAGTTTGTTAAGAGTTATTATCATGAAGGGATGTTGAATTTTATCAGTTGCTTTTTCTGTATCTATTGAGGTGATCATATGTTTTTTCTTCCTGTACCGTATTTATTGACTTTTATATGTTGAACTATTCTTGTATGTCTGGTATAAATCCACTTGATTGTACAGTATTATTTTTGATGTGCTGTTAGATTCAGCTTACTAGTATTTTGTCAAATTTTTTTGCGTGTATATGTCCTGATATGGTTTGAAATTGTGTCCCCATCCAAATCTCATGTCATATTGTAATCCCCAATGTTGGAGGAGGGGCCTGGTAGGTGATTGGAACATGGGGGTGGACTTCCCTCTTGCTGTTCTCATGACAGTGAGTGCGTTCTCAAGTGATCTCATTGTTTAAAAGTGTATAGCGTCTCCCCCTTCACTCTCTCCCTCCTGCTCTGCTGGGTAAAGATGGTGCCTGCTTCCTCTTCTGTCATGACTGAAAGTTTCCTGAGGCCTCCCCAGCTGTGCTTCCTGTACAGTCTGCAATGCTGTGAGCCAACTAAACCCCTTTTCTTTATAAATTACCCAGTCTTAGATAGTTCCTTATAGCTGTGCAAGAATGGACTAATCCATGTTCATTAAGGATATTCGCTTGTAGTGTGTGTGTGTGTGAGTGTGTGTGTGTGTGTGTGTGTGAGTGTGTGTGTGTGTGTGTCCTTGCCTGGTTTTGGTATCAGAGTAATGCATGCGTCACAGAATGAGTAAGGAGAGTTTTCTCCTCTTCAATTGTTCTTGGAATAGTTTCAGGAAGATTGATATTAGTTCTCCTTTGAATATTTGGTAGAATTTGACTGTGAATCCATCTGGTCCTGGACTTTTCTTTGTTGGGATACTTTTTACCATGGATTCAATCTCACTACTCATTATAATCTGTTCAAGTTTTCTATTTCTTCATAATTTAATCTTAGGAGATTGAATGTTTCCGGGATTGTATCTATTTTCACTAGGGTTTTTAGGGTATGAGCACATAATTGTTTATAATTGTATCTGATGATTTTTTTATTTCTGTGGGATCAGTTATAATGTCTTATTTTTTCATTTCTGATATTGTTTACTGAGTCATTGCTCTTTTTTTGGTTAGTCTAGCTACTGGTTTATCCATTTAGTTTATATTTTTAAGAATCAATTTTTGTTTCATTGATATTTTGCATTAATTTTTTATCTTGTTTTATTTAGTTCTAGTCTAATCTTTATTATTTCTTTTCTTCCACTAATTTTAGGTTTAGTTTGTTTTGGCCTTTCTAGCTCCTTGGGATGCATTGTTAGATTGCTGTTTTGTAATCCTTTTACTTTTTTGATGTAGGCATTTATTATTATAAATTTCCATCTTAGCATTGCTTCTGCTGTATTCCTCAGGTTTTGGTATGCGGTGTTTCAATTTTTATTAGTATCAAAACATTTTAAAAATATTCATCACTAACCTAATGGTCATTCAGGATCATGCTTATTTTCCATTTATTTGTTTAGTTTCCAACATTTCTTTTGGTATTGATTTCTAGTTTTATTCCATTGTGGTTTGAGAAGATACTTGATATAATTTCATTTTTTGAAAGTTTGTTGAGTTTTTTTTTTGTACCTAACATATGGTCTATCCTGTAGAATGTTTCATGTGCTGAGGAAAATAATATATAGTCTTCATTTGTTTGATAGAATGTTCTGTAACTGTTAAGTTCATTTACTCTGATGTCTAGTTTAAATCTAATATTTGTTTGTTGATTTTCTGTCTAGATGATCTGTCTACTGCTGAGAATGGAATATTGACGTTCCCTACTATTATGGCATTGCAGTCTATTTCACTCATTAGATATGGGAATATTTACTTTATAAATCTGGGTGCTCCATTATTAGGTACATATATATTTAGAATTACTATATCCTCTTGCTGGATTGACCCATTTGTCATTATATAATGAAGTTTTTGTTTTTCATTATTCTTGAGGTAAAGTCTGTTTTTATCTAAATATAGCTATTGTGGCTTATTTTTGGTTCCTATTTGTATGAAACATCTTTTTCCATCTTTTTGCTTTTAGTCTATGCGTATTTATTAGTAAGGTGAGTTTCTTGTAAGCAGCATATAGTTTTATCATGCTGTTTAATTAATTCAGCCATCCTGGATCTTTTAAGCAGATAACTTAATATATTTATATTCAAGGCTATTATTGATATGTGATGCTTTGTTCTCCTGTCATATTGTTAATTGTTTTTTGGTTGTTTTTATGTTCTCTATTCCTTCCCTTTTCTCCTATTGGTTGTTGTCATAGTTTGTTGGGTTTCTGAAGTGGTATTAATTGAGTTCTTTCCCTTCCTTTATTGTGTGATGGCTTTGCCAGTGAGTTTTATATTTTTGTATGTTTTTATAATAATAAATGCTGTCCTTTCATTCCCAGGTTTAGGACTCCCTTGAGGAGTTCTCGTAGCTGTGGTGTGTGCTAATGGTATGTGCTAATGAATTTTCTCAGCATTTGCTTGGCTGGGAAATACTTTATTTCTTCTTTTATGAAGGATAATTTTATAAAAATAGTATTCTCAGCTGCTAGTTTTTTTTCAGTACTTTAAATATAATATTCCATTCTCTTCTTGGCTGTAAAATTTCTGTTGAGAAGTTTGCTCTTAGTCTAATGGGGTTTCCTTTATAGGTGTCTGGATGCTTTTCTTTTGCTGTTATTAGAATTCATCCTATCTTTAATTTTAGACAGTCTAAGCAGAATGTGCTTTGGGGGAGACATTTTTGCATTACATCCTCCTAGAGATCACTGAGCTTCCTGTGTTTGAATGTTAATTTCTCTTTTTTTGCTAGACTTCGACTTTTTTTTTTTTACTTTTTTGCTAAACTTTTCATCTATTTCATTAAATAGAATTTCTAATGCTTTCCTTGCCTCTTTGCGCTCCAGGATGCTGACAATTTTAAATATTCAATCTTTTTGTTTTCTCACAAATGTCATTAAGACTTTGCTCACTCTTTTCTGTTCTTTTTCCCTTTATTCTATTCTGCCTGGATTATTTCAAAAGACCAGTCTTGAAGTTCTCAGATTTTTTCTTCTGTCAGATCTAGTCTATTGTTGATGGTTTCAAATATATTCTCTATTTCTTTCAATGAATTCTTCATTTTCAGAATTTCTGTCTGGTTCCTTTTTTAAAAAAATCTCTTTGATGAATTTTTCAGTCATATCCTAAATTGTTTTTAAGAATTCTTTTGTATCTCATTGAGCTTCTTTAAATTCAAATTTTGAGCTCTTTATCTGGGATTTGAGAAATTTCTTTTTGATTAAGATCTATTAATGGAGAATTATTGTATTCCTTTGGCGATGTCATAGTTCCTTGCTTTTTCATGTTTCCTGTGTCCTTATTTTAATGTGCGTGCATTTGCTTCTTTTTATTTTTGAGTTTACATTTGTACAAGAGGACTTTTTCCTGAAGATATATCTGTGGTGTCGGTTGTATAGGGCACTTGGCTTCAATTCTGGGTATATGCAGTTTTGTCGTCTCTGTATGATATATTTGTTTATAAATAGTGTCATTAATATCTGTAAAATCCTCAGTGTCTTAGGGTACAGTTATTAGTGGAGATTGTGGTAAAGTTTTGCTTGGGACAAGAATGGCAGGTGGGCCAGTCTTCTGGCCTCAGGAGTAGCAGTGGTGGGCTGAGAATGCCTGTCCTTGAGGCCCAGAGTGGCATATGTTGGCTTTGTTCTTATTGGGTCCAGAAGGGTCTGTTCTTGAGTCTCACAATGGCTTACTTAGATGCTGGTAGTGGTAGCAGTGGGCCCAGCAGGTGAGCAGATTCTTGGGTCCCTGGGTAGATAGTGTGGTGTGGGCTATGGCAATAGCAGTGATGGGATGTCTCTGGCTCCCAGTGGTACTGGCTGGTGTTGGTGGTGGGTGCAATACAGGGTTGACACCCACATCCCCAGACAAGCAGCTCTCAGGCACTCCTGCTGTCTTTGGCAGCAGTGCTGCTGCACCACAGGATTCCACAGAAGCTCAGGCATGGAGGCCAACCATGTGTGGGGTTGCAGTTGACACTTATAGCCCAGACAGGTAGACCTCTAGTTCACCGGCCTCCAGCCTCTGGCAGCTGCAGAAATACATATTCAAAGGGAGCGGAGGGGTCCCGTTCTCTACACAAAAGCCTGAGCACAGAGGCTGCTCTGCCTGTGGGAGGGGATTTCACTCTCTGCCAAACAAGCTCTTTGGTTTCCTTCATCCCCGGGGCTACCTTTCTGTTGTGCAGCACCATCCTTTCCCCAGGGAGTCGTACTCCCTGTGGGCTCGAGTCCTGGGGACCCTGTAGCATCTTCAGGTCTAGTTAGCATTGTGCCACCCACTGCAGCTCTCCAGGCGGACACTGGGAAATGTTAGGGGAGCTCCCAGGATATAAAAATATGGGGGCTGTGATCCCCAGGGCTAGCTATAGTCCTCTGATGGCTATGCTCCCAAAATACTGCCCTACTGCAGCCTCTCGGGTCTCAGTGCGTGGGTAAGTGATCCAGTGTGAGTTATCTGTCTGGGGCAGTGACCTTGCAGGGTCTCCAAATCACCACCAACACAGTGTCAGGGTTTGTGAGAGTAGAAGAGCTTCCTCATCGTTCAGATTGCAGTAGTATGCAGCTGATCTGTAAATCACTGAAGCCCTCTTGCTTACCCTTTTCCTGCAATACTGAGCCCCTTCAGGGTCTCAGCCAATCTCAGCCAAGTGGCTGCTAGCTTCCTTCTCCTTCTGTGCCTCAGGTGTTTCCCGTGAGTTCTCCATTGGACTCTGATGTCATTTCCCAGATAATCCATTTGAGGTGTGATTACATGTTTATCATTTTTGTTATTCTTTCTGAAGAGGGTGGATGTCTGGTGTCTGTAGTCAGTCATCTTGAACCAAGGTCCAATGAAAGTTTATTTCTTATGTAAAATATATAAAAGTGCACTGTAATTTCCTTATTAAGTTTACAGCAATAATTTTTTTTTTTTAGACAGAGTCTCGGTCTGTCACCCAGGCTGGAGTGCAGTGGTGCAATCTCAGCTCACTGCAATCTCTGCCTCCTGGGTTCAAGTGGTACTCCTGCCTCAGCCTCCTGAGTAGCTGGGACTACAGGCGTGTACCACCATGCTTGGCTAATTTTTTGTATTTTTAGTAGAGACGGGGCTTCTCCGTGTTAGCCAGGATGGTCTTGATCTCCTGACCTCGTGATCCACCTACCTCGGCCTCCCAAAGTGCTGGGATTACCGGCGTGAGTCACCATGCCCAGCCAGCACTAATTCTTTACGTTGAAGAATCTGATTTGTTATGAAGACAGGGTGCCATTTATTAAATGTGCTATTGAGAAATAATAATCAGGTCCCAAATAAATATATTCAAATATTTTGAAAGTATAATAAAATGTATTTAAATCCTCAAAATGGTTTTATATCTTTGTATCAATTATTTGATGTTATAATGAAATAAATTATCTTAAGTAACATAAGTCTGCTAACTTTTCATATTTAAGAAAAATTAATGCAAGCTGAGAATTCTTTCCCTAAACAAAAAACATAGAAAGATAAACATATTGTTTCTGGTGACTAATTTAATGTGACATATCTTATGATAAAATTGACTTAATTAAGTAAATACTTAGTTTTTATTGTGTTTAGCTAATGTAGCATAACTAGAAAATGCCTTTATATTCCAAGAGTATCTTAGCAGATTTAGGTAAGCAGAAACCTGAAAAGTTCACATTGCGTTCTGCGGCATTTTTTTTTAAGTTGTTCCCAGTAAATAAATCGAATGTTTAACTTTCGGAGCATACTAATGTCCCATTATAACACATTAGGGACGAGATGCCCACTATGGATAAATTAAGAGCTGACCTAAACATTTTCCCAAGGTTGAGGCTAACCATTTGGGAAGAGTGATTTCACTGTAACATTTGCAGATCTAATTATCTCCTCATTCTAGCCAATGCCAGTGGTAAGAGCCTCTACAAGAGCTATTTTTCTTTCAGAGGCAGACTAGTTGGACTATAAAAGTTTTCGAATTATAAGGGCTAGTATTTCCTATCATAAGAAAAAACTGACAAAATTTGAATAATTCAAAGTGAATAATTGAAGAACAAATTTTTCTTTTGCCTGAATTATAGCAATAGTTAATACAATAATAATTATAGGAGACAAATAAAATAAATTCTTCAGTTTTTTTCCTAGCTACTTAAGGAATTTAGACAAAATTTATTTTCTGCAATTAAATTACTCAAACAACATGTAGACCAAGATTTGTCTTCTATTATCCTGACTAATTCAAAGTATCTGTCACTGAGACAATTCAGTTTATTAGGGACAAAAGATCCTGATTTAACATCTAGACAACAACTGATTTGAGTTTTAAACATTGTTTGTCTTACATATGGTTAGTTTAATTTTCCACTCTTTTCTATAGATGAGCTTTCTGAAAGTTCTAGCTTCTATGAATAAAACATTTTAGGGAAAAGTAGGTATTGGTGTATGTTTCCTCTTCAAGAGTCTACTTTCTTCAGGCTGCTTTATACAAAATGCTTATGAGTACTGTGAAAAGCCTGTGAAGTACTCTGAACTCTGCTACCTTTACCATTCAAATATATATTATTACATAGTGCAAATCAAGTGGCTTTAGATCACAAAATGGATTTCAGGCTGAAGACTGAAGACAGAAGATGTAGTATCAGACACTTACGAGTGGAAGTGGTATTATTCAAATTTCTCTCCCTCCTCCAACTCTCACTTTCCCCAAAGAGTCATAAAAGTCCTTCTAGAACTATGTCTCTGTTATCGCCTTGATAATTATTTGCCTTTGCACTTAAATATTTATTGATTTTTTTGGTTCCTCATCCATAGAACTTCGTCAAATATATTCAGAATGATGGAATTATATTTAACTTCTGGCGGTTACCTCTTACCCAGTACATTGTAAGCCCCATTTTATAGGAGCTTTTAATAAAATTTGCTTCACTTTAAATTAGTTTAACAAATCATTAAGCATCTACTAGGTACCAGGTATTAAGACATACAGCATGCCTTTATAACCACAACAATGTGCTATTATAGGAATTTTAAAAAAACATTCACTAAATGAGTCAATTTAACTGCAGTCATTAATACAGCAAATATCTTTGTACAATATATCAAATATTTATATTAGCTAACATTAATGTCATTTAAAAAATCATTGGATTTTTAAGTGTAGCAACAATGATGGTAAATTGAATTGGTCAAAATGTTTCAGCCCACAAAGTCACACTCTCATCTCTTTCCCATTTTGAACCTACCCAAGTTAGCACCTCTTAACCCACATGGAAACAGGTAGGACAGAGACTTTTATGGAGCCATAAAAGTTTGAGTTACTCCTCAAATTTCCCAGCATGTATGGATCAACATGTATGGCCTTTAGTCCTCCTTGGGGACAGGAAGACCTCAAATCCAAGCCAAATTATCATTCTCTTTAAAACAGCTAAATCCAAGTAAAAGTGGAAGGAGGGAGGGAGAGGCTCTGCCCTCATAAGCAAGGCTCTGCCCTCATAAGCAAGGCTCTGCATCAGCTTTGTTTTTATGGTTATTTGCTGCTTACTCATTGCTCCATCAAGTGAATATGTAACATTTGGTCCACCAAAAATCACTATAGTGAATATTAAGGTCTTCATCACTGAAAGCATTTATTTTAGCTTTGGGAACTCAACATCCACAATCACATTGCATTTTAGCTGGAGCTATGAAACATGCTGCGCTATATCATAAGAATATTTCTTTCTCCACCAGAATAAAATAGGAAACAAAGTAGTCTTTGGGCAGCTGTTTCAATTCCACCTCTCCCCACTTAGCCTCAGACCTTTCATTAGAAGGTAGGGCAGTGATAGTTGCTTATTTCTCTATTTCCTCACATACAACTTGGACAAGAGCATTGGCAGAAAATCATAGGGGAATCTTATAAACCTGAATCACCCAGGAGGGCCTGTATCTTTCATCACTAATAACAGACAACCATGTGTCTTAGCATTCTATCCTTATTGCTAGAATTTCCAGCATCTGTGATAGATTTGAGACTTTAGTCTATTTAAAGGCTGGAAAGTCAGCCTCTTCCAATTTCATCAATGCTGACAAAGGACACGAAACACCTCGTCAGAGTTAAAGGGGTTTATATGTCTTGGCAGAATAGGCAAAATGTATATCTGCATATTCTATAAGTTTTGCTTGACCCCAAGTCCATGCAGGTGACACAAAGGTCTTAAAACACCCACTATGTTCTAGAAACACTGTGATGAGAATATACTTGGGTAATTAATGAGATATAAAGACAAGCTACCCATGATTGTTTTAGCTTAATTTTATATACATTCATGCTTTATCTGTGGAGTAAACTTTACATATTTTCATCAATTAATGCAGGTTTAATCATCATGTTAGTGTTTTGGCTGTCTCTGTATGTACTAAAAAATATTTATGATGTGGTTGTAGAGAGGTGATTCACCCTCACTGCCCCTAATTCACAATTGAAGTAATATTTTAGTGTGTATAATGGAGCAACTAAAGAAAATACATCTTTTTCAAAACCCATCATTAGTAAAGTTTAGCCCTGTCTGAACTTGTTGCTGGTTATATTGTATTTTTCTCACATCTCTTATGTAGGATGAAATGAAAATATTGCCTCAGGTACAGAGAAATAAATTAATGTAGGAAGGAAAAGGTCTTATTTTTATAAAATAAAATATTTACCATGGCACCTGTAAGTTACACGGAATCATATCGCTAATAGGATCTATATATCTACTTCAGCTCATAGGTATTAGAATGATGAATTTTTTATGAATCATAGTATAATTGGATAATTCATCTTTTGTCTTTATGTGTATTATACAGACAAAAAATGAACTCTTCCTGATGCTTTAATGATTCTTTGGCAGATCCTGGGAAAATGCTTTGATTAGGTGATCTCTCAAATAATCATAACTGTGGCAAAGTCGCTACTAATATTGAGCTTAGGAATCGTGTATGTTTGCAGTAAATCTAACATAGGCTGCAGAACTGAAAACCAAATATAGCAAATATTCTATATATTAAAAATTATATATAATCAATTAACAATTGTTTTTTGTTTTTAATATAAAAGTGATGGTAGATGTCTGCAAAATAAATTATAATCTGCCAAAATTAATTTAAAAACAGTTAGCACTGAAATGGTGATTAGGTTTCTATGTCTTTGCATAATTGTTATGACTACATTTTTGAGAAAAAATAAAATAATTTGCACAGAAAAAATTAACATAAAATGTATAATAATTTTATTTAAAATTATTAACTAGGTTTTGTATGTATAATTATGACATTTATTGTAATTATGAAGAACCCTTTTTAAAATTGTATATATTGAGGTGTACAACATGGTGTTTTGATATACACATATACACAGTAAAATAATTACTTCAGTCAAGTAAATTATGCTTTTCATCACCTTTCATAGTTATCTTTTTCTTTTCATGTGTGTTTGTAGTAAGAGTTTCTAAAATCTGCCATATTAGCAAAATTTCAGTATATAATATAACTATAGTCCTCATGCTGTTTGTTAGATATCTAGACATTCATTCTATATAACTAAAACTTTGTACTGTTGTACTTCTCCCCATTTTTTGCCCTTCTCTGTTCCTGGTACTCACCACTGACAATTTCTTTATCCATTCTTCTGTCAGTAAACACTTAAGTTGTTTTCATATCTTGGTTAATGGTTTTTTGTTTGTTTGATTTGGGGAATTTTTAGAAATGTTTATTATTTGAGTTTTTTTTTACCATTTGTATGCTTATTTTTATTTCAATAGCTTTTGGGGTACAAGTGGTTTTTGGTTATATAGATGAATTCCATAGTGAAGAATTCTGAGATTTTAGTGCCCCCATCATGTGAGCAGTGTATGCTGTACCCACTATGTAACCTTACCACTCACCTCCCTCCCAACCTCCCTCACCAAGTCCCCACAGTCGATTATATCATTCTGTGTGTCTTTATGTCCCCATGGCTTAGCTCCCACTTATAAGCAGGAACATACAGTATTTGGTTTTCCATTCTTGGGTTACTTCACTTAGAATAATGGCCTCCAGCTTCATCCAAGTTGTTACTAAAGACTACTTCATTTCTTTCTATCACTGAGTAATATTTCATTTATATATATATATATATATATATATATATATATATATATATCACATTTTATACCTCAATGGCTGAGTAGTATTCCATGATGTATATATATCACATTTTTTTATCCACTTGTTGGTTGATGGGCACTTAGGTTGATTCTATATCTTTGGAATTGTGAAATGTGTTGCTATAAACATGTGTGTGCATGTGTCCTTTTCTATAATGACTTATGTTCCTTTGGATTACTGGATCGAATGGTAGATCGATCTTTTAAGGAGCCTCCCTACTGTTTTCCATAGAGGTTGTGTTGATTGACATTCCTGCCAGCAGTGTGAAAGTGCTCCCTATTCATCACATTCATGCCAATATCTATTGCTTTTTGACTTTTCAATTATGGCTATTTGTGCAGGAGTAAAGTGGTATCTCATTGTGGTTTTAATTTGCATTTCACTGATAATTAGTGATGCTTAGCATTTTTTTTCATGTTTGGTGGCCAGTTGTACATCTCCTTTTGAGAAATGTCTATTCATGTCCTTTGCCCACTTTTGATGGGATTATTTGTTTTTTTCTTGCGGATTTGTTTGAGTTCCTTGTAGATTCTGAAAACTAGTCTTGGTATGATTTGGCTGTGTCTTCACCCAAATCTTGTCTTGAATTGTAGTTCCTGTAATCCAAACTTGTGGTGGCAGGGACACAGTAGGAGGTAATTAAATCATAGGGGCAGTTACCCTCATGATGCTGTACTCATGATAGTGAGTGAGTTCTCATGAGATCTGATGGTTTTATAAGGGGTATTTTCCTTTTTGCTAGGCTCTTCTCCTTCCTGCCATCATGTGAAGAAAAAGATGTGTTCGCTTCCCCTTCCACCTTGATTGTGAGTTTCCTGAGTCCTCTCCAGCCAGGTGTAACTGAGAGTCAATTAAACCTCTTTCCTTTATAAATTACTAAGTCTCAGGCAGCTCTTTAGTGCAGCATGAGAATGGATTAATACAAGTTTTTTGTTAGATGCACAGTGTGCACATATTTTCTCACATTCTCTGGGTTGTCTGTTTATTTTGCTGATTATTTCTTCTGCTGTGCAGACCTTTTCGTTTAGTTGGGTCCCATTTATTTATTTTTGTTCTTGTTGCCTTTGTTTTTGGGGCTATAGACGTGAATTGTTTGCCTATGCCAATGTCCAGAAGAGATTTTCCAATGTTATATTCCAGAATTTTCATGGTTTCAGGTCTTAGATTTAAGTCTTTGATCCATCTTGAGTTGATTTGTGTATAAGGTGAGAGATGAGAATCCAGTTTCATTCTTCTACATGTGGTTTGGCAGTTTTCCCAGCACCATTTCTTGAATAGGATGTCCTTTCCCAATTTATGCTTCCATATGCTTTGTCAAAGATCAATTGGTTGTAATTATTTGACTTTATTTCTGGGTTCTCTGTCCTATTCCATTAGTATAAATGCCTATTTTTATACCAGCACCATACTTTTTTGGTAACTATAGCCTTATAGTATAATTTAAAGTCTGGTAATGTGATAGCTCCAGATGTGTGTGTGTTTTTTTTTTCTTAGTATTTCTTTGGCTATTTGGGCTCTTTTTCAGTTCCGTATGAAATTTCAAAAATTTTTTTTCTTTTTTTAATTATACTTTAAGTTCTAGGGTACATGTGCTCAACGTGCAGGTTTGTTACATATGTATACATGTGCCAGGTTTGTGTGCTGCACCCATTAACTCATCATTTACATTAGGTTTTTCTAGTTCTGTAAAAATTGAGGAGAGTATTTCCATGGGAATTGCGTTGAAACCATAGTTTGCTTTGGGAGATATGGTCATTTTCACCACACTGATTCTTCCTATACATAAGTATGACATATGTTTCCATTTGTTTGTGTCATCTATGATTTACTTCAGCAGTGTTTTGTAGTTTTCCTTGTAGAGATCATTCACCTCCTTGGTTAAGTGAATTCCTCGGTGACTTTTTTTCTTTTTACAACTGTTGTAAAAGGGATTGAGTTCTTGATTGAGTTATTGATTAGTAACAGTGCTACTAATTTGTATACATTGGTTTTGTAACCTTAGGCTTCATTGAATTCTTTTATCAGATGTAGGGGTCTTTTGGATGAGTCTTCAGGGTTTTCTAGGTATACACTCATATCTAGTGTATATGGCACACAGTGATAATTTGATTTCCTCTTTTTCAATTTGGATCTCCTTTATTTCTTTCTCTTGCCTGATTGCTCTGGATAGGACTTCCAGTACCATGTTGAATAGAAGTAGTGGAAGTGGACATCCTTGTCTTGTTCCAGTCCTCAGGAGAATTTTACTTTTTTACCAGTTGTTCTATTTGTTTTCCTCAAAAAAATTTAGTCGTAACAATAATGCGAGAACATAGAAACCTAATCACCACTTTAGTGATAACTCATTTTTACTGTTCTTAAAATGTACTTTGGTAGATTGTAATTTATTTCACAGACAGCTACTACCAAATTTTATGTTAAAAACACAAAACAATTGTTAATATATATATTTAATATATGGAGGAGAGAAATATTCAAACTATAGCATTCTGTTCTGGCTGACATAAAAAATACATGAATTCCATCTAAATAGTCCCAAAAGTCTTAACTTATTTTAGCATCAACTCAAAAGTCCAAACTCCAAAGTCATATCTAAATCTAAAGCACAATTCATCCTGTGGTAAATTTTCCTCTGTGAGCCTGTGAAATCAAAATACATAACATGCTCCCAAATTACAATGATGGAGCAAGCATAGGATCATCACTGCCATTTGAAAAAGAAAAAAATAGACAAGAAAAAAAAGAAGTAACTTGTCCCAAGTAAGTAAAAACCTTAACAGAGAGAACAACATTAAATCTGAAGGCTCCAAAATAATTTTCCCTGACTACATGTCCTATCACCTAGACACAGTGAAGAAGGTGATGGGTCCCTAAGGCCTCAGGCATTCCTGCCTCTATGAGTTTGTTGAGCTCAGCCCACACAGCAGCTCTCACTAGTTGAAACCTCCTGCCAGAAGCTTTCCCAGGCTGCAATTAAGCTGGTAAACTCTACTTTCTGGGGTATTGGGGGCAGCTTTACTCCCATAGCCCAAATGGCACAGAGAAATCCCTAATAGAGGTTTTGTGGTGGATTCACCCATGTGGCAAGTCTCTGCCTGGATACCCAGGCTGTCTGATACATTCTTACAAATCTAGGTGGAGGCAGTCATGCTTCCACAGCTCTTACATCCTGCATGCCAGAGCAGCAGGTTGAGCCATGCTTTGCCCATTTGAGCTACAGCTGGAGTGTCAAGAAGTGCAGTGCGAAAATTTGGAAAGCGGAGGCCACAGGTTTCCCTCAGGTACCATGTGCACACTGTGCCTTTCACCAATAACAATTCAGCACTCAAGGCATAGGGCTCTGAGCTTGTAATGGGAGGGACAACCCTGAAGATCTCTAAAATGCCTTCTGGGTCTTTCTTATTGTGCTGATGAGTGGCAGCTGGTTTCCTTCTATACAGATGAGCTTCCTTATCAAAGTTTCTCTTGCTCACCAACTCTTGGTATTCTCACCCACACAGCATTTTTTTTGTCCTTGACATGGCTGGTAATGTTTCAAATTTTTACATTTTAATTCTCTTTTAATTTTATATTACATCTTTGATATGGTTTGGCTCTGTGTCCACACTCAAATCTCATGTCAAACTAATTCCCACTGTTGAAGGAGGGGCCTGGTGGGAGGTCACTGGATTATGGGAGGGTGGATTTCCCCCTTCCTGTTCTCGTAATAGTCAGTGACTTCTCACAAGATCTCCTTGTTTAAAAGTGTGTAGCATTCTCGCCCGCCCCACCCCCACCTCCTGCACCTTCTGGAACTATGTGAAGACATGCAGAAGACATGCTTTTTTTCCCCTTTGCCTTCCATCATGATTGTAAGTTTCCTGAGACCTCCTAGTCATGCTTCCTGTTAAGGCTGCAGAACTGTGGGTCAGTTAAACATCTTCTCTTCATAAATTTCACAGTCTCAGGTAGTTCTTTATAGCAGTGCGAGAATGAGCTAATACAATCTTTAAATCACTTTTCTCTTCTCAAATTTTACTTTATGTGATTAATTAGCCATACGGTTTCTTCAATGCTTTGCAGCTTAAAAGTTTCTTTAGTTAGATATCCTAGTTCATCACTCTTGAATTTTGTCTTCCATGAAGGCCTTAGGTATTGACACAATTCATTCACGTTATTGGCCGCTTTACAACAAGAATGGATTTTACTTAGTTTCCAATATGCTGCTCCTCATTTCTATCGGAGACCTCGTCAGGATTGCCTTTACTGTCCATATTTGTACCAACGTTTGGATCACAAACCACTAATCTCTAAGAAGTTTCCAAGTTTTCCTACAACTCTTCTCTTCTTCTTGTTTCTCATTGGAATATCTGTAATGCTCTCTTCATGACAATACAGAATTTTTCTAGCATTAACTTCAAAACTGCTCCAATCTCTATCTCTTACTTTGTTCCAAAGCCCCTTCCACAGTTTTAGGTATTCATTATAGCAACACTATAATGAAATTTTTGTTACCATTTTACTGTCCTAGTCCATTTGTGCTGCTGTAACAGAATACCTGAGACTGAGTAACTCATAATGAACAAAATGTATTGGCTCAGTTTTGGAGGCAGGCAAGTCCAATATCTGGTTGCCAGCCTCTAGTAAGGGCCTACTTGCTGCATCATCCCATGACAAAATATAAAAGGGCAAGGGAGAGCAAGAAGGGGCTGAACTCACCCTCTTATAATGACACCAATCCCACTGATGAGAGTGGAGCTTCCAAGTGGCCTAATCAACTCTTAAAGTTTCTACTACTTCATTATTCTAATACAATGGCAATTAAATTTCAACATGAGTTTGGGAGGGGGCAAACATTCAAACTGGAACATATACCCAGAAGTGGGATTGCTGGACAGTATGATAGTTCTGGTTTCTATCCTTTGAGGAATCTCCAAACTGTTTTCATAATGGCTGTATAATTTGCATTCTCACCAACAGTGTATGAGTGTTCTCTTTTTCCGAAATCATTGCCAATACTTATTATCTTTTGTCTTTTTGATAATAGCCATTCTAACAAGTGTAAGATACTTACCTCATTGTGGTTATATTTTGCATTTCTCTGATGAATAGTAATATTGAGCATTTTTTTGTATATCTGTTGATCATTGATATGTCTTTTTTTGAAAAATGTCTATTTTTTTGTCAGTTTTTAAATCAGGTTATCTGTTTACTTGATTTTGAGTTGTTCGAGGTTTTTTTTTTTACATATTTTGGATATTAACCTCTTATCAGATGTATGGTTTGCAAATATTTTCTCATTTTACATAGGTTGTCTCTTTGTTCTGTTGATTGTGTCTTTTGCTGTGATGAAGCTTTGTAGTTCGATGTAATATTATTTGTCTTTTTTTTTTTTTTTTGCTTATGTTGTCAGTGCTTTTGGGATCATATCGAAATTTCATTGACCAGACTAATGTCACAGAGTTCCCCCCATGTTTTCTTCCAGTAATTTTACACTTTTACGTGTTACTTCTAAGTATATAACTCACTCTAAGTTGATTTTTTGTATGTGTTGTGAGATAAGGGTCTAATTTTATTCATGTGCATGTGGATATCCAGTTTTCTTAACATCATTTGTTAAATGCTGTCTTTTCTCCATTGCATTCTTGGCACCTTTGTTGAAAAATAGTTGACTGTTGTTATGGTTTGAATGTGTCCACAAAATTTATGTGTCAGAAACTTAATCTCTAATATGACATTGTTTAGATGGGGCAACTTTTGAGAGGTGATTATTATCATTATTGTAGGAGTGGATTTACTATTGTGATAGTGGGTTTGCTATAAAGGTGAGTTTGGCCCTGTCTTGTTCTTTTGAGTGCCCTCTGTCAACATGTTATGCCTTCCACCATGGTATGATGAAGCAACAAGACTCTCACCAGATGTGGCCCTTTAATTATAAATTTTCCAGTCCTTAAATTTCTGCTCATTATAAATTACCCAATATGTAGTATTCTATTATAGCAGCCTAAAACACACTAAGATATCCATAATTGTACAAGCACATTTCTGGGCTCTTTTGTTTCATTTGTTCTCTATATCTGCTTTTATGCCAGTAATATGTGGTTTTGATTACTACAGCTTTGTAATATATTTTAAAGTTAGGTAGTGTGATGCCTCTAGCTTTGTTCTTTTTGCTGTAGATTTATTTGGCTATTTGGTGTTCTCTGTGGTGCCACACAAATTTTAGGATTTTTTTCTATTTTTATAAAAAATGTCATTGGAATTGTGACAAGGATTGCATTGTATCTGTGTCTGCATTTTTTTTAGTAGGCCATTTTAACAATATCTCTTCTTCTAATCCATAAGAACTGAATATCTTCCCAAATATTTATGTCTTCTTCAAATTTTTTCATCAGTGTTTCATAGTTTTCAGTGTACAGATCTTTCAACTCCTCGGTTAAATTGATACCTAAGTATTTTATTT
Organism: Homo sapiens; assembly: GCF_000001405.40. NCBI lineage: Eukaryota > Metazoa > Chordata > Mammalia > Primates > Hominidae > Homo > Homo sapiens. The sequence continues at coordinate 81,113,192 of NC_000003.12, read as the reverse complement.
AATTAATTAATTTATTTATTTATTTTTAGACAGAGTCTCACTTTGTCACCCAGGCTGAAGTGCAGTGGCACGATTTCGGCTCACTGCAACCTCCACCCCCCAGGTTGGCTTAACTGCAGTGGCAGGATCTCAGCTCATCGTAATCTCTGCCTCCTGGGTTCAAGCAATTCTCTGCCTCAGCCTCCCGAATAGCTGGGATTACAGGCGTTCACCACCACACCCAGGTAATTTCTTTGCATTTTTAGTAGAGATGGGGTTTCACCATCGTGGCCAGGCTGGTCTTGAACTCCTGACCTCGTGATCCACCAGCCTCAGCCTCCCAAAGTGCTAGGATTACAGTTGTATGCCACCGTGCCTGGCCTTTATTTTATCTTTGTAGCTATTTTAAGTAAGATGATTTCTTTATTTCTAATTCACATAGTTCTTTGCTGGCGTATAACATTTGAGTCATTTGAGTGTGATGTTAGCTGTGGGCTTGTTACTTATGGAATTTTTGTGTTTAGGTACACTCCTTTCATACTTAATTTTTTGAGAGTTTTATCACAAAAAGATGATGAATTTTGTCAAATTATTTTGATGCATCTATTAAGGTGATCATATGGTTTTTGTCCTTCATTCTGTTAATGTGGTGTCTTGCATTTTTAGATTTGCCTGTGTTATGTCAACCTTGAATCCATGGGGTAAATCACACCTGGTTATGGTGCATGATTCTTTTAATATGTCATTAAATTTGGTTTGCTAGTATTCTGTTGGGAATTTTTGCATCTATGTTGATCACAGGCATTGGCCTGTTACTTTCTTTTCTCAGAGTGCCCCTAAGTTGACTTTGGTATCAGTAGGTAGTTCTGGCTTTGTAAAATGAGTTTGGAAGTATTTTCTTTCCTTCAGTTTTGGAAGAGTTTGAGGTTTGGTTGTGCTAGTTCTTTATATTTTTGATAGAAATCAGAGATGCCATCAGGTCTTGGGAATCACTCTCATCTTAGATGGGAGATTTTTTATTACTGATACTATCTCCTTATTCATTATTAGTCTTTTCAGACCTTCTCCTTTATGATTCAGTCTGGGTAGGTTGTAAATTTCTAGAAATTTATCAATTTATTCCAGGTTATCCAATATATTGTCATATAATTGTTCATAGTAGTCTCCTACGATTTCTTTGTTTCCATGTAGGAGTTTTAATGTTTTTACTTTTATTTGTGGTTTATTAGAGTATTTTCTCTTTTTGGGGGGTGTAGCTAAATTTCTTTGTTGTTTATCTTTCAAGAGACACAACTTTAGTTTTACTGATCTTTCTATTGTTTTCTGGTCTCTATTTCATCTGTGTCTTCTCTGATCCTTATTATTTCTTTCTTGTACTAACTGTAGGTTTAGGTTATTCATTTTTTAAATTTCTTGAAATGTAAGGTAGGCTTTTTATTTGAGATCTTTCTTTGTATTTGATGTAGGCATTTATTGCTATAAACCTCTCTCTTAGAACAGATTATGCTGCATCCCATAAGTTTTGGTATGTTGTATGTCCATTTTAATTTATCTCAAAATATTGTTATAATTTTCTTTCAATTTGTTCTTCGACCTATTGGTCATTTCACAGCATGTTGTTAACTTTTTTATTAAAAACCTGTTTTGTATTAAAAGAATTGTTTTGTGGCCTAACATAGGATCTTTTCTGAAAAATGTTCCATGTGTGCTTAAGAAGAATGTGCATTCTGCTACTGTTGGATGAAAAGTTCTGTATGTATGTTAAGTCTATTTAAAGTGTAATTTATGTGTAACGTTTCCTTATCAATTATCTGTGTGGAAGGTTTGTACACTGCTAAAACTGTAGTACTGAAATCCCATTCTACTATTGTGTTACAGTCTATTTTCCCTTCAGTTCTATTAATATTTGCTATACATATTTAAGTGCTCTGATGCTTTGGACATATATTGGCAATTGTCTTATTCTCTTGATCAATTGAGTCCTTTATCAAAATAGAATTATCTAATTTACTTTATAGTTTTGACTTAAAGTTTACTTTACATATTATACATATATTTGCCCCTGCTCTTTTTGGTCTACATTTGCATGGAATAGCATTCGTATCCTTTTATTTTCAATCTCCATGTATCCTTATAGATAATGAGTCTCTAGCAGTTAGCATATACTTGGATCTTTTTAAAAATCCATTTATCTACTCTGTCTTTGATTGGAGAATTTATCCATTTATAGTCAAGATAATTATTGATAGATAAGAACTTACTACTGCATTTGTTATTTTCTTCCTGGTTATTTTGTATGTCCTTTATTCCTCTCTTGCTGTCTTCCTTTGAGATTAATTTTTGTCTAGTAGAGTTCTATGATTTTTACTTTTTATCTTTTGTGCATATACTATAGGTTTTTGCTTTGTGGTTACCATGAGGCTTACATAAAACATGCTATACTAAAAACAGGGGGCTTTACACCAATAACAACTTAACTTTGATTGCATAAAATAATCAACACTTTTACTCCATCCGTTCCTCCAACATTTTATGTTTTTGATGTCATAGTTTTCATCTTTTTATATTTTGTATCTCTTAACAAATTATTTTATCTACTATTATTTTTAATAGTTTTGTCTTTTTACCTTCTCACTAAAGATATAAGTAATTTAACGTCATCATGATAATATTAAATTATTCTAAATTTGGCTTCATACTTATTTTTACCAGTGCATTTTATACTCATGAATGAAAGTAACAATAGTCATACTTAATTTACAATAAAAAATGAATAAGGTGCAGACAAAGAAAACTCTGGTTCTGTTAAATAGATTTTAAATGTCTATGTGATGCTAAATCAGGTAGAATATGTAACTATTTTTATTATCCATGTTTGAGAAGTTGATAATTAAAATGATCTTCATTTATGGTATTACTATATATAATAATTTAGAATGGTCTCAAGGCATTACAACTAATATATTGATTGATTTTTCTCACCCCCAACATAATTTTCTTTAGGGGAATATGCCAGTATTAGTTTAAAGATGAGGTGAGACTTATCTAATAAATATTAAAATGGAAATAAATAAAAAAGAGACTAGAAAAATAATAGAAATATCAATGTGACTGAGTGTTGGAAAAATAATAAAATTTATAAATCTGCTTTTTAGAATTACCAAGAAAAATGGAAAGAGGACTCAGATAAATAAAATTATAAATGAAAGAGAGACATTATTATTAATACCACAGAAATTTTTTAACATCATGAGAGATGACTATAAACAATTATATACCAAGAAATTGGATAATTTAGAAGACAAGAATAAATGTCTAGAAACATATAACCTACCAAGAATGAATTATGAAGTAATAGAAAAACCTTCAGACCAATAATGAGTAAGGATATTTAACAGTAATCTAAAACTCCCCAAAAATGAGAAGCAAAGGACCACATCACTTCATGGGTAAATTGTATCAAGCATTAAAAGAAAAATTGAAGCTAATCTTTCTCAATATCTTCCAAATAATTGGAAAGGGGGGGGCACTGCCAAACATTACTCTTAAACCAAACTCAGATAAGAAGACTACAAGAAAAGATAACACAGGGCAATATCCCTCATGAACACAGAGGCAAAAATCCTCAATAAAATACTATCAAACCTAGTTCAACAGCATATTGTGAGGATCAGATGCTACAATCTAGTGAGAGTTATTCCTGGTATGCAAGGTAGGTTTAACATACACAGATCAATAAAATGTGATATACTACACTGAAAGAATACATGATAGAAATCACGTGATTATCTCAATAGATGTAGCAAAAGGATTTGACATAATTCAACAATATTTCATGATTAAAAACTCCTAACAAATTAGATGTAGAATTAATGTATATCAACGCAATGAAAGCCATATATGACAAGCCCACAGCCAATGTCATTCTCCATGGTGAAATGCTGAAAGCTTTCTCCTAAAATTAGGAACAGGGCAAGAGTGCTCAGTCTCACCACTTTTGTTCCACAAAGTGGTGAAAGTCCTAGCAAGAGCAATTAGTTAATAAAAAGACATAAAAGGTATCCAAATCAGATAAGAAGTAAAATTGTCTCTGTCTACAGACAATATGATTTTTTATATAGAAAACCCTAAAGACTCCTCCAAAAATCTGTTAGAACTAATAAAGAAATTTAGTAAAGTTTCAGAAGACAAAATTAATATACAGAAATTAGTTGCATTTGTACGCACTAACAATAAATTCTCAGAAAAAATTAAGAAAACAATTCCACTTATAATAGCATTACAAATAACAAAATAGTTAAGAATAAATTTAACCAAGAAAGTGAAAAATCTGTATACTGAAAATTATCAAACACTGATGAAATAACTAACCCCTGTAGTAACATGATGAAAACCAGGTAGAAAATTTTCTTACAAGAGTGGCCAGATATTTCACTGATGAGTGACAAAACATGAATTTTTCTGTTTATGTACAGTAGATAGACCATCAACCTCACTCCTCCCAAAAGTATGGAAAACAGTTTTGGTTCTTAAAAATTGAATGGGGAAGAGACTGAGTTCTCACACTAAATTTTTGGAACATAAATATGCCTTTCCTAGGGACAAATAAATACCTGGTGTCCCTGGATTTTATGACCTAGAAATATTTCCCATGTCTTCTTTTGAAAGGTAAATACTTAGGGAGATTGCTTTGCAGTCTATGGCACTTGGGGAGCTTTATCTAGGGAACTAAGTATGGGTTATAACAATTTGACTTACCTGAGGAAATAACTAAATGAGGTCAGGAGTTCGCGACCAGACTGGTCAACATGGTGAAATCCCATCTCTACTAAAAATACAAAGATTAGCTGGGCCTGTTGGTGCATGCCTGTAGTCCCAGCTACCCATGAGGCCGAGGCAGGAGAATTGCTTGAACCTGGGAGGTGGAGGTTGCAGTGAGCAAAGATCCTGCTACTGCACCCCAGCCTGGGCAACAGAGCAAGACTCCATCTCAAAAAATTTTAAAAAATGCTCAATATCTTTTTATATCAGAGCAATTAACTACATGACATTAATGCCACAAAGAGAAGGTGAGTTTTGGATTAAAACAAAGCAAAATATTATATTGGTCTGTGATATGGTTTGGCTCTCTGTCCCCGCCCAGATCTCATCTTGAATTGTAATCCCCATGTGTCAAGGGAGGGACCCAGTGGGAGGTGACTGGATCATGGGGGCAGTTTCCCCCATGCTGTTCTTGTAATCGTGAGTGAGCTCTCATGAAATCTGATGGTTTTATAAGGAACTTTCCACTTCACCTTCTCTTTGCTGTCCTGCCACCTTGTGAAGAAGGTGCCTCCTTCCCCTTCCACCATGATTGTAAGTTTCCTGAGGCCTCCTCAGCCATGAGGAACCGTGATTCAATTAAATCTCTTTCCTTTGTAAATTACCCAGTCTTGGGTAGTATCTTTATAGCCATGTGAGAACTAATACAATCTGTGTTATACTTTTCTTTGCTCCTAATTGCTTGTGCCTTTATCTGAAATATATGTCTCTGTATTAGTCTGTTTTCAGACAGTTGATAAAGACATACCCAAGGCTGCGAAAAAAAAAAAGAGGTTTAATGGACTTACAGTTCCACATGACTGGGGAGGCCTCACAATCATGGTGGAAGGCAAGGAGGAACAAGTCACGTCTTTATTTTATTTTACTTTTACTTTTAAGTTCCAGGATACATGTGCAGAACATGCAGGTTTGTTACATAGGTATACATATGCCAAAGTGGTTTGTGGCACCTGTCAACCCTTCATCTAGGTTTTCAGCCCTGCATGCCTTAGGTTTTTGTCCTAAGAGCAAGTCACATCTTACATGGAGGACCACAGGCAAAAAGAGAGCTTCTGCAGGGGAACTCCCTTTATAGAAGCATCAGATCTCTCGAGGCTTGTTCACTATCATGAGAACAGCACAGCAAAGACCTGCTCCCATGACTCAGTTACCTCCTACTGGGTCCCTCCCACAACACGTGCAAAGTCAAGATGAGATTTGGATGGGGACACAGCCAAGCCATATCAGTCTAGCCATATCTAGGCTACTGAATTTGTCAGTTTTCAGAGAAAAGCTAAGAGGTTTTTATATTTTCTGGAAAGTTGGTGTTAAAATGATTTTGATAATGGTTACTTAATGGACTTTCTTACTTTATAACCCATGACTGGACACTTCTTCTACGAGTTAAAAGAAAAATAGAAGTGGAAGTTAACAATCTGGTAAAGTCTATAATGATATCATAAAATAGTGTATCACATTTTATTAAAAATGGTTAATAAGTTAATATGCTATTATTGCAGCAATATTTGTATCATGATAGAAGTGTCAACATGAACTCATCATTTTTTTTCACGGATAACCTTTTATAACTCATTTCAGGTTGCATTTACTTAGCTGTCACAAGAAACAATCTGAAATACAATCTTAATGCCAAGATTTCAGCCCCTAATTCTCTAATGCTATTCTTCACTAACAGGAATCAGGATTCGCAGTGGAACAACTGATTCCATGTTTAGGACAAACAAACTCAAGGTGAGCCTTGCCAGAAAGACAGTATTTTTTTCATAAGTGTTGAAAGTTGTATTAAGTAGGATTGGATAGAACTTTCAACTTACAGAGAAGAAAACTAGTGGCCAAGAGGGAGAAATTGAAGATTAAAACAAAACAAAAATCTTGCTTTTGAGTTAGGTGTAGTTGGTAATGTCAGGACAATGCTTCCTCTGACAACTGCTAGAGAAACAGGATGAGTTGCGAAAATTGCATTTTAAAAAGCATACAAGAGCCGTGGAAGTAATGAGGACTAACAGAACCTCCAGAGAACAGAGAACAGAGAACTGTTCAGAGGGAATATGACAATTGGCAGCTGTTATTTTTCCCTGTATGCATTTGCTGGTCCTGGGTGTGGCTGCAGATGTGGGCATACACCAGGCCATGAGCTCCTGCTGGGCCAAAAGCTAAATCACAGAACTTTTAGTGGTGGCAAAGGTTGCTAAAGTAACAAAATTGGAGACTTAGGGGCCTTGAATATGTGGCTTGTTTTCTGAATTCTGAATAAGTTAAGTGGCCCACAGCTCACAGTACTTAGAAACGGAGACCCATCCATCTAGGGTAAGGAAACAACAAAAGAGGCTGTACACAATGGCATTAAAGGAAGTGGTGCATTGACAGTGGGGATATACAGCTATTTTCTATTTTCTACATGTGAACACTTATCATTTACAAGTGACTAGAGTTAGTCAGAGCTTGAGAATTCAGGAATTGTGCCTAAAAAAACAAAACAAAACAAACAAAAAAACGTACACTAATGAGGGACAGGAAACCATGAGGCATTTTGCTTCTCATGCGGGGCTAAGGTGACATATTGGAGTCTTTACAAACATGTCTATTCTTTACCTCAAGGCATTTGTCAAAATTTGAAGCAGTGTGCGGTTAAATATTAAAAAGTGAGCTAAAATCTTCTAACAGGCAGAATTCAATATATCCTGTAATCTTGCAGTGATGAGGTGACAAAGATCCTTATTTAAAAGCCCCAGAAAGAAGGCAACACCTTAGGAACAGCAGTAAGCCAGAAGTTTCCAGTCTTACCAAAATAGAACCCAGTCATAACTTATAACTAGATCTAAAGAGAGGAATTTCATAATGATAAAGAGTTTAATTCAAAAGGAAGATATCAGAATGCTAAACCTGTTTGTTATGTGAATATTATGTTATCAATAAAGTGTCAGAAAACCATAAAGATATGAGATAGGACACAGTGGAGTATCCTAGGGCGTAAAATATTTAAGTAGAATGAGTAGTTAGAATGAAATGTCATGTATTTCTAAGGGGATGTGCTAATGTGTTACAGTGTTTCAAATTTTGAGTCATTTTTTGTTTTGGCAGCCAGAACAAAAACAAAAAAGTAGGTGGTGAAGATAATCTTAATCAATTTAGAAGATGATAGTAAGAAAACAATAATATAGGTGACCGTGTCTTTTATAAAATCAAATGTAAACACAATTACAAAATTAGTTTGGTTAATTAAGAAGTAAATGTTTATTGATACTTCAGAGAAATAATAAGTTCAACCGTGGGAAGGGAAGATTAGAGAGTTTGAAAGTGTAAAACGAGTGGGAATTTCAGCTGTGAAGCTGTGGGATATTCTTGCTGGGAAGGCTAGTTGGAACAGAAAGCATGAACAAAGGAGCATCATAGTGTCAGTGAGAAAGCCAGAATTGGGAAGCTAAAATAATGTTTAGGAGCAAAATATGGGGGAAGGGTTGGGGTAGATGCTTGAAATACATACAAGCCTGAAATCAAGAAAGGAAAGAGAGTGAAAAGCAAGAAGAGGTAGCCATGATTCTGGAGTTGAGGGGAAACAAAGAATGAAGCACATTTTTGTTACACCTTAATAAGCAGTTATTTGAGGCAAGGGTAAGGAACTATAAGCTCATGATCAAGGAGACTGGTAATTGTCAAAGCCATGGTGAAAGTTTTCTAAGGTGACTGCTCATTGAGAAAATCAGCATGCTTATATATTCAAAGAATTATTACACAGAGAATGTGAGTTGACATGGATACCTGAACACCTGAAGAGTTTTTATGGCCCCTCCTCTTAGAATGGAGCTATATGATCGCCATTCTAACTGGCATGAGATGATATCTCATTGTGGTTTTCATTTGCATTTCTCTAATGATTAGTGATGATGAGCTTTATTTCATATGTTTATTGGCTGCATAAATGTCTTCTTTTGAGAAATGTCTGTTCATATCCTTCTCTCATTTTTGATGTTGTTGTTTGTCTTTTCTTGTAAATTTGTTTAAGTTCTTTGTAGATTCTGGATATTAGCCCTTTGTCAGATGGGTAGATTGCAAAAATTTTCTCCCATTCTGTAGGTTGCCTATTCACTCTGATGATAGTTTGTTTTGCTGTGCAGAAGCTCTTTAGTTTAATTAGATCCCATTTGTCAATTTTGGCTTCGTTTCCATTGCTTTTGGTGTTTTGTCATGAAGTCTCTGCCCATGCCTATGTCCTGAATGGCATTCTTCTAGCGTCAGCAAACAAACACAGAGACAAAAAACCAAACACTGCATGTTCTCACTCATAAGTGGGAGTTGAACAATGATAACACATGGACACAGGGAGGGGAACATCACATAAGGGGGCCTGTCGGGGGTTGGGAGGCTAGGGGAGGGATAGCATTAGGAAAAATATCTAATGTAGATGACGGGTTGATGGGTGCAGCAAACCACCATGGCACGTGTACACCTATGTAACAAACCTGCATGTTCTGCACATGTACCCCAGAACTCAAAGTATAATAATAATAAAAGAATGGAGCTATACGGAGAATGGAAGACAAATGGGCCAACTGAGTTCGTGAATGCCCAATATTTGCCAAAGTCCAGTGGGTCCAGTGGTTCTCTGGGCCAATTTGGTGTATATTTACCAGTTCCTGAAAACATAATTGGGGTTGACATATTGGTGCATGTACACAGACACACACACACATATACACACATACATATATAATGGCCTGTGTCATAGTATATGTATATTTATATATAAACACACACATTAATCTAATTTTACCAAGAAAAGTAGTAAGGCAAAGATAAGTTACAAAAATAAGTGACAGATCTGAGATTTGAATTAAGTTGTCAGGCTTAGGTGTCAAGTGGTTACCTCTTATGACACTGCCTTTTCTAAGAAATATAATGAAGTGCCTGCTTCGAGGTTCACCAAACTATGTAGTATGCATTGACCTTAAACCAGAAACACCCATTTCATCTTAATTCTAACATGTATTGTATAGTAAAATAAATAAATAATATCACAAAGCAAGTCATTCTGCTTTATAAAATTGCAACAATTTTTTTCGTCATTCAACATAGTCTGATTCTGGTAAGTTTATTGTGCTGCTGATTTGAGTGCTAACGGCCTCTTGAAGAAAATTGGCTTTTGCAAAATAGTAAGTTTTAAAATAGTCACATTGCAAATCCCTCCAGCAGAAAGGAATAAAAGTGCTATTACATTTCTTTTGTAATTTTTCTTTGGATCTGTTCTTCTGGAGAAGATAAAATTAAGCCAAATAGTTTTGATTGCATTGGAGGTCACAGAAAAGATTCCTTTCCTTATGGGAAATGGTCCACAGAGACAGCACCCAATAGCATCCAATTAAATGGCTACAAAGGTTGGACTGAGTTTGCATGGCTACCCCTGTACTTGCCACATTACACCCCTGATGAAGGGAAACAATTTTATGGCTCTTTCAACATTATGCTCAAAACTGAAATAAGTAATCACCAGTTTGCACCATCTAGTCTGTTTCTGTAAGGCGAAACATTTTAGCTGAAGCCACAAAAGGGAAAAAACCCTTTTCAAAGACTCCCACGTAACAGAAGGAATTGAAGACATCCCTTTGCTCCCTTGATTTCCTACTTAAAGTTGGAAAAAGAATTCAATTTTCTTTTTGGTTATCACTTTTCTGCAATAGATTTTGAACAATGTAAATCAATTACCTCATTCCTGTTCACATCATTCAATTTTATTCCAATAGTCCCCAACTGGTAAAGAGAAGAAGATAATGTTACCAAAGTCCTTCAGGGTTATGGGCTCATTTATTTATTTAATAAATATTAATTAACCAGTGATGATGTGTCAAGCATTACTAAACTCAGCATTAGAGATAAAAAATTGAACGTAAATAGTACCAGCTCTAATGAACATCCAGGCCAGTAGGAGAGACAGAACTGTAAACAAATAAAAACACATTAAAATCATGTGTATGAGATCAGAGGCAGCACAGAGGAGGAAATGATTATTTCTCTTTGTACTTTTTCTGCCGTTTTCAAACTTTAGCAACTCCATTGATAGAAAGATAAAACATTTCCAAAAATAAACGTTAAATATAAAATTAGTTTATTGGCAACCTCAAAAGTTTTGTACAAAGTAACTGGTAATATTATTGGCTAAATTTGAATATGAGTTGATCATTAGATTAATTTTTTACTATTGCGGTCATTATCACAAGGCTTAGTTTCACATTTTTAGTTATGCAATAAATATGTTCCAACAAATACATTATATATTATTTTGTCATACATTTTTAGAGAATGTACTTTTTTCCACAACTTCCAGTGACTTCTCAGGATTATTGTTTAACAATTTTATTACTTCCTGAATAAAAGGTTTGAAGTGTTAGAATTGTTCTATAATCTACTAAATTACCAAATGCTTAAGCAACATTTTCTGTAGATGCAATCTCTAGTTATGATGGCTAAGAGGCCATCTATAAAGTGACTTTTTAAATCACTTCTTATCCAAAACTTGAATTCACATAATTTTATTTTATTTTATTATTTTATTTTTTGAGACGGAGTTACACACTGTTGCCAAGGTGGAGTGCAGTAGCGCAATCTCAGCTTACTGCAACCTCCGCCTCCTGGATTCAGGTGATTCTCCCGCCTCAGCCTCCCAGTAGCTGGGACTACAGGTGTGCACCACCATGCCCAGCTAATTTTTGTATTGTTTAGTAGAGATGAGGTTTCACCATGTTGACCAGCCTGGTATTGAACTCCTAATCTGAAGTGATCCACCCACCTTGGCCTCCCAAAGTGCTGGGATTACAGGCGTAAGCCACCATGCCCAACCTGATTTCATGTAATTTTACAGCTAAGGTAGTTAAAAAATAAATAAATAAACAGAAGGAGAGGATGTAGTAGACATCTATGTTGTCTTTACTCAATGTATTATTCCATTCTCATGTTGCTATGAAGAACTACCAGAAACTGGGTAATTTATGAAGAAAAGAAGCTTAACTGAGTCACAGTTCTGCAGGGAGCATGACTGAGAGGCCTCAGGAAACTTACAATCATGGCAGAAGGTGTAGGAGAAGCAAGCCCATCTTACCATGGCAGAGCAGGAGAGAGAGAAAGAAGGGGGAAGTGCCACACAGTTTTAAACCATCAAATCTTGTGAGAACTCACTCACTATCACAAGAACAGCAAGGGGGAAATCCACCAACATGATCCAGTCACCCCCACCAGTACCCTCCCCTGATACCTAAGGATTACAATTTGACATGAGATTTGAGTGGGGACACAGAGACACACCATAAATCTCAATATCATGTCTTTAGGGATTACAAATTGGGAGATAGCCACACCCTTTCCTTTGAGGGAACTGCTTCTTCTTCACTACAACTTTATATTTCAGATTCACCCTCTTTCAGAAAACCCTGACTGGACTGGCGTGGCCCATCGCAGTGCTTCTATTCTTCTGGCTATCTAAAAGCATCCTGCTTTCAACTCCATCTCTTCATGTCACACTATTTTGTATTAAATTCCTCACTGTACTTCCACTTAAATTTTCTTTTCTTTTCTCTTTGCTGGTTCTCTACTTCACACATTATAATTTAAAATAGGCAAAGAAAGACACTTTTCCTTGCTCACTTCTATATAGCTAGGCTGAAAAAATGACCTGGAAATTATTAGGTTTTTATACAATATTACTGAATGAATGAATCAGTACAAGAATAGAAATGTGATAAAGATAGTCAAATTCTTTCACCTAGAGTTTTACAAGCACAGTTCACAGGGAAATCCCCTCTCTCAGGTCCTGGAGTTGGGACAATATAGTCTCAGAGACACCAGTTTCCATGCCTCTAAGGAAAATCTGAATGAATGAAGGTGACCCACTTTAAGAAGCAGAGATGAGATGGAAAAAGACGGTGAGAGTTTTTGCCAGGTTAAAGGCCTGGTTTATACTCAGTGAGGCTCCCAGAGGGTCCCTGGTTCCTTCAGCATTTCCTTCAAATCTGAGTTACCTTGACACCCTTCCAATAAATGATGTTTCAGTGAAACCTACAGCTGAAAATCGAATTTCCATGCCAAACAATACAGGGTAAAAGAGGAAAACAGTTTGACTCATTGAGCAACTGTAGACAGAAATACAAACTACTCTAATAAAACATAGTATTATTCACTTAAGTAGCACTTTAAATAAAATGTAACATTTTGCACTTAGGTAGCACTTTCCACTTACCAGCACTTTTACATAGAGCAGACCACCTGAAATTTGTAATAGCTTTGTGAGGATTCCAGTGTATTTATAGCCCTATTTTCCAGAAAAAAGTAGTGATGCTCAGACAATATGTATTAATATTTTAATGATAATAAGATGTAGGGTTTATTGAATGCTTGTAATATGCCAAAACTTGTACTGAGCACATTACATCAATTATCTCCTTAATAAATGTACATTTTATCATCATCTTTATTTAAAATTCAATCAAGCTGTGGCATAGAGGGATGTTACCTTTGCTGAAACAGTCTTCCACATGCATTTGGACCTCAGTCAGGCTTTTTCCTAATATAACTAGCATTTTATTTTTTGCTTTTTATTTTTTTAAAGACAAGGTCTTACCCTGTTGCCAAGACTGGAATCAAGTGGCCTGATCGTAGTTCACTGTCACCTTGAACTGCTGGGCTCAAGTGATTCTTCCACCTAAGTAGCTAGGTCTACAGGTACATTCTACCATGCCCAGCTAATTTGTAAATTTCTGGTAGAGGTGAAGTCTTGACATATTTTCCAGGATGATCCTGAACTTCCGGGCCCAAGTGATCATCCCTCCTTGGCCTCCCAGTGTTGGGATTACAGGAATGAACCACAGTGCCCAGCCTGACCAGCATTTTCTAATCTTGGTATTTCTTATACCTTTGGTGGTTTCCATCCACATTCCTCTACGGCAAAATATTCCCCATTTTATAATGTCCACTTAAAATTCGAATTTCTCTCTTTATGCGTATTCTCATCTTTCAGTGGAAATTAAATTATTTAATACATTTATTTCTGATTTAATGAGCCACCACATCTTGATCTTGTTGTGAGAGAATCGTTCTCTGCTCAAATTACTTGTAAAATGTTGGGTTAGAAAAACTTTAATATACGTTTCTTCTGACAAACCTTCCAGAGCCTTTTATATAACAATGTGAATGTCTCTGAGAAGAGAATATGCTTTCCATTGTGTAAAATTATTTAACTTTTTCTTGTCACCTCTTAACATCTCCAAGGATCTCTTATCGCAGAATACTATTAGGGAGAAATAGCATTATTTGGCACTATAAAATTGAATTATATTGCTATAATCCACAAACTTGTATTTCTTCCTTCACTTGATTGTTTATTCTTGAGGGCAGAAAGTTTATCTTGTGTAAAAGTGCTTACTTTTAAGAGCTTGGAAAAGTTTTATAGAATTCGGTAGTTTTGTTTTTTGTTTTTGTTTTTTAGAGGGGACAGGGTCTCACTTTGTCTCCCAGGCTGGAATGCAGTGGTGTGATCTTGGCTCACTGCAAGCTCCGCCTCCCGGGCTCAGTGATCCTTCCACTGTAGTTGTTTTTTTAAATGTTAGTTAAGCTTAATGTAATGTTTTCCATACACTTATGGTTTTGCAGAAGATAAAAAGACTATTTTTATTAGTCAATATCATATTAAATACTTTTTATATACATATCACATATCATAACAATCTTATATTGTACCAGAGAGATATTAAACATTGCACTTAACTTACCATTGTTACTTACAATGTTAAATAATTAGTAGGATACCTGGGTTCTTTTTTAGAATGGTTTAAATATAGGATATATTCTTTGTTTTCTGGTATGTCGATTAATGTGGGATGATAGGTAGCTCCTTAAAGTATCTTCATTTCTTGATATCCTTAACAATATTTTATGGTTTAGTCGTTAAGAACATTTTCTCATTTACACAATACTATGCTTGTTTGAATACTAAAAGAGACTGAATTAGAGAATTTTTCTAAATCCATAAGTAGCATAGAGGGAGACATAAGGTGTATAAGCAAATGAACTGCTTTTTTAAGTTTGCAAGTTTTTCTGTGTTCTAAATCAGTCGTTCTAACAGGAGGTGTTTTTTTGTTGTTGTTTTTTACATTTGTCAGTGTTTGGAGACTTTCTTTTATTTCTTTAAACTGGGGAAGATGTGTATCTAGTAGTACTGGTACATGTATCAGTATCTGGTGGGGACAGGTCAGGGATAATTTGCTCAGGATAGTATTCCCTATTGTTTATGACCCTTTTATTGGCTGTCTTCCTTCTCCGTGTCACCTATTCCCTATTGTTTATGACCCTTTTATTGGCTGTCTTCCTTCTCCAAGTCACCACTTCATGGCTTTGTTGTGCTTCTGGAATCACTTCTCATATAAGCAAATTGTGCCCATATTCTCCTCCTGGAGTTTCCTTTTGGAAAACTCAAACTAGGGCATCTGTTTAATATTTGTAAACATCCTAAAATGCACAGGACAGCCCCCCTGTTTCTGACCAAAGGACTTTTTAGTTCAAAATGTCAGTAGCACCTGGGATAATAAACCAGGCTGTAAAAAATTATGGCTTATCAATTATCATAAGTATGTGCATATATTAAAATAAATGTTTTGAGTGATTTTTCTATTTTTCATTGTTGTTATTCTTGCTGTTCAGAAATGCTTTGAAAAATGATATTCAACTTAATTTCAGAGCTACACATACATAGGATATTAGAGAAACTCAGTAATAGCAGCCATGGGAAATTTACCAAGAAGTTTTTGAAGCCCACGTTTGAGGGGCTCTCACACAGATTTCTTTTGAGACACTGAGAAAGACTGTAGCAGTGTGCTCATAAGGTATTATTGTCATTATCTTTATTATTTTACTATTGCAACAATAAGATTCTTGGCAGCAGTCATTTAGGCCTGTTATCACACCTCTCCTGACTTCTCCTCTGTCATACCGACCTTCATGTTGGTGAGTATGAAATGACCACATTTGTCATCTTTTAATATTTGGGATTTGTTGTGATTTATTTAATTAAATATTCAATTTGATATCTAGTGGAGAAGCTGTCACATGTTTCTAGTATCCTTCTCTACCCTAAGCTTACACTGGAGCTCAACGGGGGCTTTGCTGGATGGCTCCTGTACACGTCTATGGCTTCCACCTAAGCCTTTCCCTTCCTTAGGGTTTTCTAAGGAATATACACTGCCCATGAACATATGCAAAGACAGAGAAGGCTGGAAATGCTGGGAAATTACTACCCCCAGGAACAATCCTCAGTCTGTTAGGAATAGGAGTAGTATACACTCCAGTGTTTGCCTCCTGGTTTGGCACCCTGAGGCGTTATCTAAAATGTCTTCCAGAGGGCCCCACAGCAAGACTGAGCCCCAATTGCTCAGAGTGGTATTCCTCATTGTTTACCACCCTTTTATTGGCTTTCTTCCGTCTCCATGTCACCACTTCATGATTTCGTTGTGCTTCTGGAATCACTTCTCATATAAGCAAATTGTACCCATATTCTCCTCTTGGAATTTGCTTCGGAAAACTCAAACTAAGACATCTGTTTAGTATTTGCAAATTTGGATTTTTTTTTTTCATTAGAAGAGCCCTTATATTATCTAACTTCTCAGTCCCACAACCTGTAATTTTCTTTCAACTTGACACACTTACTTTGGAAAAAGAAAACCCTTAGCTACTCCTGAAAGCTCCTACCCACTCCAGGACAACAGGGTAAACCGTGGAATCACTGTTATAGACTGACTTAACTTTCCTGAAAAAAAAATAATGCTGGCTTTTAAAAATATCACGAGACAATATGTCTAGAGAAAAACGTTTAGTTTTATACTAAGAAGAATACTTTAAAACTCTACCCCCATCTTTTCTCGGTAACAGAGTTTAAGCTTTGAGAAAGTGAACTTTAATGTTATTTGGCCTGATTCATTCAAACGCTATGCCTGGAAAGCTGCTGTTAAATTAGAGAAGTTACATCAAGGAACCAAACAAAAGCAGTAAGTAAACGTCAATTTGGTTTACATGCCCGTAAAAAAGAGCAAGACTGCTGTAAAGGAAAGAAAGTCAGAATTGGATGGGGATGTCTTCAATGGCTGAAAGGACTGCTAATGGGATGTGTGAAGCCTTTCTTTTCTGGGTCAGCAGTCTGAATCCAGGCCGGGTCAGTAGAACCCAAAAAAGTCATTATTATTTCACAGCTGATTTATACACTCTTTGGAATGAGACTGGTCTCACTCCAGGTTTTGGAAGACGTGTGTCTGCAGCCAAGCACTCCCCGTCACCGAGAGCAGTGATTGGCTCTGTTCTTAGCTGCCTTGACAGAAAGGCCAGGGATTCAATGAACATTGAAGCTGGACTGCACTCACTGTGGCCAGCTTAGGAGCCTCAGTGCACTGGCCATACAGGATTGATAGCAAAGTAGCGTTTTCTCTTTTCTGTTCTTGCTCTGTATAGATTTAAGGGGAATTCAGAATATCAGATGTCAGTTTGCTATTTGTCCAATTCATTTAAAACATTTGAAAAGAAAAGGATTTCAAAGAAGCTTATCAAAAATTGCGTTTGGCATGGAGCTCTGCATGACATGCTTCAACCTAAGAGTAAAATGCCGTGGCCAAGTTATAACCCCTGTATGCGTAAGTTCATCATCGCAGCACTCACAAAGCCCACACTGCAACAGTTCTCTTTCAGGCACTTAGTTGAAAGGTGAGCAGTGTTTGATTTCCTTCTGGTTTCATGATAAGTAATAGAGTGGTCATTTTCTAACAGTTAGTAAATTAAGAAGTAACAAATGGATTTCAATTTTCATAATCTTACTCAGGGTATCTTTTGAAGTGTGTATTATTAGTTTGTACTAATGCAAAACTACCAGCTGAAACTAATCTCCCTAATGAGGTTCATTTGTCCTTTGACAAAGCAATAGTTTCCTCAAGAAAAACTTTACTGATAGTGTGGCCAGTACCTTATAATTAATTTTCTTCCCCAATCCTTGCAAGCATGAAAACAAACAGTAAATTTTTCATTTGTTCATCAGTTTCGAACAACTGTTTAGCAGAGATATGCTTGATTAATGGATTTAATTTGTTCCTTTCTTCTGTAGTCGGTTTTCATATTACATTGGTTATCAGAGGATAGGACAATAATGTGGGCATTCTCATCGCAGTCCACTCCATCAGTGTCAGTGCTGGCTTCTAGCTCCGGGTCTACATCTTTAACCTTTGTCGTCCTGCAGAATCTTTCATCAATCTGTGTTACAGTCACCTTGGGAAGAAAAGGCAGAAGCACTCAGTCAGCACTTACAGGTAGTAAAGTGTGTCATTATTTCTAACAAAATGCTGGCAGCGGTGGACCTTTCATTTCCAACCGAAATATAATTTGTGAGATCAGCAACCCAACTATTAAAAGAGAAAAATGGAAGGTACCAGTCTGGTCACTACAAGGCCCTCTATAAAAACCAACACAAAATGCTTAATGCTTTCCTGCATGCTGGGCGCTTAAAATGACTAGGGCTAGTTTTGCAAATTGAATATTATTGTCAGATAATGAAAGTACCTATGTAGAGGTCAAATAGCATCATAAAATATAATGGCAGTTTTCATAATACTGACCGTTTCATAGTAGGGCACAAATCTCCATGGTTGAAATCTGTAGTTCATTGGACTTTTCAGTGTGATATAAAAAGTCATAAAATCTGGCTTGAGGGGTTTTCATTCTTCTTTTTAACCTAAGTGTAACATGGACTTTGTAGAAAAATGGAAATGCTTAAGAAATTTTAAAAGATGCCTTTCTTTAGGACATTTTTGACTCCCACATAAAATGTAAAACTAAAACATATATTTAGATATTTTTAGGCATAAAATGTATAATATTTGTGACAGGAGTTAGCTTTTTAGTATGGAAAGATAATGATCTAGAGTACAATGTTTAAAATACAGAAAACATATTCTAAATATACATTGTTAGTTTAAAGAAAATTTCAATAATTTATTTTGGGTACTGAGTTCCATGACCTTTCTTTCTATATAATAGAGAATCTTTTAAAAATAGTTAAAATAGATTTCATTATTTGTCTTAACATACTTGTTAGTATTATTCAATATTTCTATTCTAGTCTTATGTGCAAAAACTTGAAATTAATACTTCATTGAATATCTCTGGAGCAATACATTTAAAAATAATTTTTTGGCATTTATTCCAGATAATTTTTTTAATCTTCTTTGGAAGATTAAAAATATCAATGAAAATAATATGCCTGATATTTAAGGAAACTTTTCCAATTTATATATAACCGGGATAGACTTGAACTGTTGTACTGGCAAGATTTAAGTTCTACTACCAGCTTTGTAATTTACTGTTTTTGAGTTATTGGACTAGTCATTCATTTTTGTGAGAATAATACCATATTCATAATCCTCTTATTTATGCAAATTTGAGGCTCTGTTACATCACTTCACAATGGACCAACAATTTTAGTGGCTCCCACTGTGGACTAATTTTATCAGTATTCCTTATTTTGGCATGCAATGTTCTCAGCAATCTAAGCATTCAGCCACCTATCCCACCCGTACATTTCATATGTGCAATATACATACGAAACCCTCCAGTCATCCTGAATTTCTTACTAGTCTCTCTACTCCTTGTGTATGGTTATGGCTCTGTCTCTGTGGTGTACTTCTTCCTAGCTAGTGCCTATTCACCCTCTCTCCCTACATCTCTGCTCAATAAACTTACACCTATCTTTGCAGTTCAGATAATTTTCCCCTTACTTCCTGAAGTCTTTATAAGTTATCCTTGTTGGTATTAATTTCTTCCTTCTTTCTGGCCTCATAGTACACTGTTTTCCATTATTCTAATGTACAAACTACACTAGAATTTGAAAAATAGTTGGGGCATATATGTCTGTCTCTACCATGAATGATGTCAGGAGTACATGTTTTCCTTTTACTTTTTTCTTTTTTTTTTTTTTTTTGAGACAGTCTCACTCTGTCAATCAGGCTGAAGTGCAGTGGCGCAATCTCCACTCACTGCAGCCTTGACCTCCTGGGCTCAAGGGATCCTCCCATCTGTCAGCCTCCTGAGTAGCTGGGACTACAGGCAAGTGCCACTGAACCTGGCTAATTTTTTATATTTTTTGCAGAGGTGGGGTTTCACCATATTGCCCTGGCTGGTCTCGAACTCCTAGGCTCAAGCAATCTGCCTGCCTTGGCCTGCCAAAGTGCTGGGATTACATGTGTGAGCCACTTTGCTCAGCCTAGACTACGTGCTTTTCTAATCCCACTTTTATCTTTGCCCTGTCCCATAGGCAGAACAAAAATGCTTGAACCAAACTAGAGCTCACTAAAAATACATTGAGTGGATAGATGAATAACTTGATCATAAATTGCAAATAATGTTTATTGCTTTCAAATCACAAAAATCATTTTGCCAGGCATTAACATGAAAACTACTATGAAAGGTATTCCACATAAAACATGAGGCAGCTCACCTAATAATTTAGTTCACAATATCTTACCCATTATATGCAATTTAATATGTTTAATTATTGGAACTAAGATAAATCCTTCCTTAGGGCATCTACATTTAAATATAAAAATTCTTCCAAAATGATAATTTATTTAAGGAAAACACTATAGGTATAAAAGCTTTCTCTTTTATATTTTCACAGAAAATATTTAAAGAAATAGATTCATGAAGCAAGATATTACATAGCTTCATAAATTTGCATACAACCTTGAATTTCTTAAATTATTTTATTCCATGAGTGTTCTTATTCTTATCCCTCAGTTGAATGCTGCCAGGATCCATCAATACATATTTTCAAAATTGTAAAAATTTGTTCATGCTGCTCAAATATAAGAGAGAAATAGAAAGGAAAAAACTCAACAAAGCAACTTTTATATTAGTTTTAACTTCAGCTGCTGCTGCAGTTAGGAACTTTGATAATGGATAATAAAAAGAACTTTAGTGAAAGTTATTAGTTATTGGAGAAAGTTTTTAATAAAAACTATTTGATTTAAATCACAGGTCTAGCAATCTCTCCCACTGTGGGTCTGTGCACATATAACGGGAGACATCTCAGCTCTTTGTGATAATCTCAAGGATTGTCCTTTAGTCCTGAGCAGTTAATGGAAACAAAAGAGGTCACAAAAATAAAGTCCAAATATGCTTGGCTCAAGAAAACCTGAGGCTACCCTTTGAAATTTCCTCTCTCTCTGTTATATCTGCATAGGCATCAACAGTATTCTGACCAGGCTTCTATTCCCCATTAGTCAGAGGAGTGTCTCATGCAGCTTCAGCCACCCATATTTACTTTGTCCAGGAGTTACTGCTGACCACCTGTCAGCATTTTACCCTTTTGTATAGTCCCCTTCCAATTTACAGAAAAGATGGCTACTTTTGTTATTATCATTATTTAAAGTTGTGTTTACTCAGCCTTAACGAAAACTATAAGAACAGTACAATATGCAGTTTATATTAGAATCTGCTAGGCCAATTTGACTTTAGATCAATCCCCACTGCACAGCATTCCTGGTGTCTTCTGACACTGACACTGACTGTTCATCCTTCTTGGACAAGTCCTCTCAACAAAAGCAGACACAGATCTACCAAAGCAATGAAGACTGTGAGAGCACAAACTAGGATAAAATGAAACTGGATGAAAGAATACTCCAAAGGCAAAATAAAGAAAAATGAAGTCTGTTTCCAATATAGTCAATCACTTATGTTAAAATATACTTGATTCATTCAAGCCACAACTTCTTAAATGTAACTGGTTTGTAAGAATAACTTAGACTGTCTATAGTCACATGATCTGGCAAATAGTAACTTTTTCATATTAGGGGCTAAACATAATCTTTCTTAATTTTTATTTTATTCTTGACACACATAATTGTAGTAATTAGTAAAAGTTGAGTTTATAAAATGTTAAAACCATTGTTCTCATACAAATATAAAATATGCATATGTCAATCTTGAACTCTGATTACTGAGGGAACCAGAAAGAGTTTAAAGTCAGTAAAATAAAGATTTGAATCACAGAGATTTACATCCTCTACCACAGGGGTCCCTAATCCCTGGGCCATGGACTGCACAGCAGGAGGTGAACAATGTGGGTGAGTGAGCGAAGCTTCATCTGTATTTACAGCCACTCCCCATCACTCATATTACCACCTGAGCTCTGCTTCCTATCAGATCAGCAGTGGCATTAGATTCTCATACCCTGCTGTGAACTGCACATGGGAGGGAGCTAGGTTGCACACAGCTTTTGAAAATCTAATGCCTGATGATCTGTCTCTGTCTCCCATCACCCCCAGATGGGACCTTCTGGTTATAGGAAAACAAGCTCAGGGCTCCCACTAATTCTACATTATGGTGAGTTGTATAATTATTTCATTATATATTACAATGTAATAACAATAGAAATAAAGTACACAATAAATGTAATGTGCTTGAATCATCCTGAAACCACCACCCCTGCCCCCTGTCTCTGGAAACATTGTCTTCTACAAAACTGGTGACTGGTGCCAAAAACACTGGGGACCACTGCTCTACCAGTTAAAATTGATTTCCATCAGCATTGAATTAGAGCCATTTCATCGCTATGACCATGAAGAATGTGCATTACTCTCAGTTTTCTGCAAGTTAAATTCTATTAATAGCTTAGTCAAGGACATTAAGTGGTACACACCCCAATAGCATCAGATGATCCCCAGAGTCTCTTAGGCAACAACTGGCATGCCACTGAAAGAAAACCCAGAAATCCTTTTTGCCCATGTCCAAGATTTTCTGCTTTTCCTGATTATTTTTATAGTCAAAAAATTTCCTCAATTGTTTTAACATATTAAATTGATCACAGTGTTGTATTCACATTTATATACAAATTTGAGATTGCCTTATATTCTTTTTCTTTCTCCAAGCATATTTTATCCTTGTAGCTTCCTTTTCTTGTTATTCCATGCCAGAGTATTGCAATATCTTAGACTTGCACATATTCCCTTAAGAAAATGTGAAGTTTTTTTTTTAAAAAAACAAATGAAAATCACTCAATCTCAGAAATTTACCATATGTTGAGCCTTCCATGAAGAAGAACAAATTTGAAAAGAATGGCATTGTTTCATTCTCAAACTCTAGAGAGAGAGAGAGAGAGGCATAGTTGCAAACACAGAGATGAAGGCATGGTGTAGGGGAACAAAAATAATTTAAATCTCTGAATTCTCAAAGGATTTGTGCCCTCACTTTGAGATCAGTTATATTATGGGTAGTTATCAAAGTCGTAATTGAAGACACATTAATGTGCAATTTACACTATGGAATCTAAACATTTATTTTGTGTCTAGGTTTTAATGGATGAGAGTAAGAAATTTTTTTAAAATCTAATTTTTCATATCTTAGAGACTACCCGTGATTAATGCAATAGTCATTTGATTATTAAGCCTGGTATAAGAAAGGCACCACCTTTCAGAAGAAAAGAAAGTTTTATTTTGTAGTGTGATTACTTGACTTTAAATTCAGGTATGTCCTTGAGGCCATATTAGCATGTGAATGTGTTTGCCGTATTACTGGTTGTCTGGAAATTGACGAAACAACTAAATCAGAGTAATAATAGGCCTTTGTAAAACAGCCTTGGAGATACAGCTAGATCATTTGCAAAGATATATCAATCTGGGACAGAACAGGAAATTGTTATGAGATAAACCATGGGCTGTTAGGCTTTCAGTTGTCACGTAAAACTAGTGTGGATACTACCGACAATAAAGTGTACTTAAATCCTGCATATAAGTAAAATGGAATGGATTTAATGAGCTACAGAGAAGTCCAGTTCCTTTTCTGACTTTATTAAAAGTTTATAATTGTAAGCCTTAGCAAATAGCAGAAATAAAGCATACGTCTAATTGTAAGTAAATTACGATGGAACATTAGGGGCCCCTTATTGCAGATTCTGACCCCCTGGTGTAAACTGAGTATTAGTAGCTAGCTGTCTTATTTATTGGATCTACCAATTGCTGTATGTATTTAAAATTTTGGTCTTATCATCTTTCACAATCCAGTAACTGAAAGGGAGTACTGAGTGATAAGAAGCAAAAAGAAGAAAGGATGGTATAATAGATAGTCCAGAGATACTCTCCAAACCTTCTTATACATTATGGTCATTCAAAATGCTATTTATGTAAAATTTTCATTATCTTAGGGTACGTGTAGACTTAGATGTAGTACTTATCAGCACCATAATTAATAATCAATGAATATTTTCATATGGTATAAAACATCAACATCTTCTTTAAAATTGTGATAATTTTACCAGGTATCTATTAGTGACACTAGGGTATCTTTTGTTTAATTCCAGGATCTCTTTTGTAAACATTGATCATAATAAATAGGTATGTTATTCGAACATATATCATGGATTTTTTTACTACTGTGTTAAAATGTTGAATATAAGACATAACTCTCAAAGATATAAGACAAAAATTTTGTGATCTTGTAAATAGATAGTTTGAAACTATTCTAAAAGGAGTGATTAAACAGTAAACAAAGGGTTAAACAAATGACACTGGCTTTAAGGATAAAGTATAATTCACAAATTAGTAAACTCTTAAGTGAACTTAACAATTAATCTTGAGAGCATCAAAAATGTCCCTGTTATTTCTGGGGAAGAGGGGGAGTAACAGGCATCACCCATAAATTGCTCTGTCAAAAAGATTAGTTGAAAAAAATTTTGTTAATGTCAAAATTAATGGAAATTATTATTTGGCCCCAAAATTAACTCTCATAAATCTTGAGAAAGACTTTTAGTTTTAATTTCTGTATTTTTATTTTATGGGGACAATATCTCAATTACATTATTGTTGTTAATAAAGATGTATTGGGAATACACATTAGCAAAAAATGTCTTTGATCTATGCTAATTTTGAATCCTTATAAAGAACATGCAAGACAGTGATTAGAAAAATTGTGAAGAGCAAAGAAATTGAATTAATGTAGATTGATTTATTTCTGACTCTGACTTCACAAATTCAAATGTTGCTGCTGCAAAGAAAATTTTTGTGGATTACTTAAGGTAATAAAGTAAATGGTTATGTTTTGGAGATCACAAATAAGAAGAGGGTCCTTCTGCTAAGGAACAACAAAAATAATAGATTCAAAATGCTTTGGATTGAAAACAAATGAGAAATAAAGATGATGTGATTTAAAGAAATGTGTTTTACACCCCACAACCTGCCCAAATAATCATAAAGACATTGATTGAAATAAAATTGTTCATATGAGATAAACTGCTTTATGAAATATTAGTGGAAAACTACAATTTGAAATTGGTATGTCAGAAAACGTTGTCCAAAATTTGTAAATAAGACAAGAAAGGTAGTCAGTACATTCTTCAATGTTATATGAATTGAAAAGCCACAAAAAATTTTCTAAGGAATGTATTTAAACTCACTATTTAATATTGATTAAGTGCTATAGAAATAGTGAGGTTAATTGTGAACTCGTAGACTTTTGTACGGTAGAATTGCAAAATAATTTCCATCCAGTGTAACAAATAAACCAGAGAATTGTGACATTTTTGGATATCAACCAGTTTTTATCTAATATGGCAATCTTATCCTAACTTTGACTGTAAATATCCTAGCTTCTGGGATGATCTTTGAACTGGTTGTAACATTTTACTACTTCTTTGACACGTGTTTATTTGTATTTTTGTATGTCATAATTTTCTTTTAAAAATTTTGTTAATTATAATTTTACATGTCAAATATATAACCAAATTAATAAATATCATAAGAAATATTAGCACCTCTCATGTTTACCTACATAGATTGACAAAAAATATTTTGGATATTTTCACTGGAAAATTTAAGAAATCACCTACTATTGAGCAACCTGAGGCACTTTAGCTTTAAAAAAAATAGAATAATTGATTAGCAACAGTGTTTTAGAAATAAAATTTTAAAAAATTATCTAAACTGGTTTTTATTTTATTAGAATTACATGAATTTTCACATAATGACTTCCATGGATGCCCTTAAGGGGAAAATAATAAATATAAAAAGTACCTTAAAAGTTGGACAAGACTGGCAAAATAACAAGCTCCATATGAAATATTTGACATGTGCAGAGTGTGGAAAGAATGTTGTCCCTAGATTGAGGCCTACCATAAATATCAATATAACCTTGGGAAGGCAATTTGAAACTCTTAAAATAAATCTACGAAGTGAGGAGAATTGATTAAATTTGCCTTGAAGGAAATTTCTAGAAATTGAATTGTTTTCAAGTTTATGATTTAACTATTTTATTTTCCAACTAAAATATCTAAGGATAGCTCAACAGGAGACAAAATTTTATCATTATATTGAACACTAACACTAAAAAACTGCTCTATCACTAAAATCTGGGAGAGAAACTTTCACTTGTTAGTGAAAGTTTGTTAGGCCAAACAAAACTTGTTAGGCCAAAATGTGTTCAAATGAATGCACCATGCTGATGCTCCAGATATGGCATAATTAAGTTTGCTGGCCCTCTCCTGTAAATTTGAGGTCTTTCCTGAGATTGTAAATTCAAATACCCACCAGAAGCCGCAGACAACAGAAACCTGCAAATCAGACTTTATTCTCATTCATAAAGTTGGGATTATATAGCAAGTGAGTACATGGCTTGTCTAAGGTAACTCAAAATGTAAAAACAAACAAAAACAGAAACAAAAAATTAGCTTAAAGGACTATGTAAACCTGACCAAATATATCTGTGAAGGTAAGAAAGTCCTGGTCTACACCACCAAGAAATGTGCCACTTAACTGCTGAGAACCACCATCTATGACCCACTGTTTGTTCTTCCACCTTATTACACAACCATAACATTTTTCCCCATCACTTTTAGATAGTAGTTCCCAGAAATACTATACAGGTCTGAGGTAGAAATGGATAGGTCTTGGAAGTTCACATAGGACATGTGGATTGAGAAGTACGGAGAATATATGTGGGGAAAATCGTGGGGAAGCTGTTCCCTGGGTGTTCTTGCTTATTATTCATATTCAATCTCCTTCCCTCTCTCTTTAATAGGATAAATTCAGAGTGTTTAAGATATCCAGAAAGTGGAAACAACACATTCCTTAATCATCCAGCCACACAATACTGAATGATTGCTGCTATTTTGAAATTTGGTGATGAGTTATACATGTCTCCAAGTCTTCCAGGGTAATCACTTAAGGAGTACTTTCTGACATCAAAATACAAAAAGAGGAGAAACAAGGAATTCCACCTTGTTTATAGACAAAAATATGACTAGAACTGATATTTCTGGTTGAAGTATTAGTATACTGAAAATAAATAAAAGTGAGAACTCTTACAAGATTATTTATTGGAAAAGGAGAAAATAATGATTCAAGTTGGAGAAGAATAATCTCTTGAAAGGATTGACTACAAGAAAAATTTGGAAAGCATTTACTTTGTGTTGTCAGATAGTATTAAGGCTTGGATTCACATAAGGGAGACAATAGAAGAGATGGAGGACAATTGAATTGGAGAAAGTGTTGGTAAAAAGAGATAGAAAAATGAAGATAGATGAAATAAGGAAGAATAAGAAAACTACAAATGAATAGCATAATTATTATTTACCCTAGAAAAATTAAAACATAGAAATGTCATTGAAAGTCAAAAAAGTAGAAAAATAAGAAGTAAAAATGATAATAAGGTGATAGAGATATAGGAAAGAGAACAGATACAAAGTTCAAAATATTGGTTTTCCTGAAGAAGGAAGTTGAGCAAACTCAATAATCAAATATATAATAAAAAAGACAGTTTTTAATTGTTTTATTACTGTTGTGAAGAAATGACAAATTACGAAGATAGAAAGGGATTGCCAATACAACATAGAATTAGGTGATTCACATATAAAAACTATCTAATGAACATATGAATTTTGAGCATAAAAAATATAAATATATTAAAATCAATATATTAAAAAAGAAGGAAATAAGATAAAAAATGATGAGGCTGGCTTCAGACCTAAACACGTATTAGAAGCCAAAAAACAGCAGAAATGTCAGAGGTTTGAATAGTATAACAATGTATTCCCAAGTATTATATTCATCTCATCCATTGCTTATGATGAAAAAAGGCAAGTCTAGGTATCCAAAAACATATTCTACGTCAGTCAGAGTCTCAGCAGGATGGCATGTTTAGGAAGCCACACCTCTTAACTCCAATGGTTGCCCACTTGATGTAAGGATTTAGTTTTCCTTGGGAAATAATTATTTAGAATTATTAAAAGGCTACATAATTATTTAGAAAGGATAATATAACTTATTTACTAGACTAGAACTTATAACAGTGCACTTCAAATAGCACAGAATATTCTGGGATTAAAATGGTCTTGGTTCATCAAGTATGATGTATTTTGCATCCTTTCATAACACACTTAAAAAAATTTCTCCTATCATCTGGCAGATAACAGCATAAATTCTCATTTTTTTTCAAACACAAAAACTAAACAGAAAGTAAAATCTAAAACAATGACAAGAAAATAAATTATTTCATAATTTGTCATATCTGCATGATGGGGTTATTAATTGAGATTTTTATGAGAAATGAAAATCTCCCTTCTCCCTTCTTTTGCACACTGCACCTTTTAATGTACAAATACATGACTACTAAATGGAAAAATTTCCATGATGAGCTCATATTGATACAAGTAATAAATGTAGATCTCCTGGCAATAAATCAAACACAGTTTAAATGCCAAAAGATTTTGAAGGAAATCAATATAATCAGGAGACACGGCCGCATAATCAGAAACATGCCACAAAGAAAGTGCCAATTTCCTGGTCTCAAACAAGCATGACTATGAGATACACTCTTGTGGATAATAGGTCTGAGAGATTAAGAACATTTGATGCTTTATGGATGCTCCACTGCTACCATCCAGGTCCAAGCTGGCATAAATTAAGCTGACAAAATACAGCACAGAAATGGATCTGGGTGTTGTACCAGAGACCACCTCAGCTCATCCAGCTATGCTTCATCCATCTCCAGGGATGGGCTATACATTAAGATTACAGAGTACAATGGAGTACAGTGCAAACAGGCATGAAGTCAGTCAGTATTTGTCACTTTCAGATTCTACTGGCTAACAAGGAATCCAAAGATTTTCCTAACTTAGCATAAGGCACTAGACAAATAGCTCTGTTATCCAGATATTTTGGAATCATCATACTAAAAGGCTCTCAGAACAGCCATAAGTCCTGTTCTGTAACTCCCTTCGGTTCAGCTAGAAACAATAATTAAAAAAAAAATAGGCCACAAACTTGTAAGACTGATTACTAAGGCACAGGAAATCCTGGTCTATTAGTTAAAATTTGTAATTTTGAAGACTATTTAATAATAGAAATATTTTCATGTTATAAAGTTGTTTGAAAAAATATGTAATCCTACAGTTGTATGTATTTTGTATTTTTTCTTCATGTGTGTCTAAACATTTTATTAATTGTCCTCTTTACTGTTGAGGCATTTCTTGTAATAATTCATGCCTTTGTTTATTTTACACAATTTATAAACTAAGCATTTTTAGATTTTATCATCACATAACATAAAATATGTGGTAATGAAAATTTAGCTCTCAGAATACATATTAAATGTAGAGTCTACAATAGTATTAACCTATTTAATTAATTTAATGAATTAAACACAACTACACAATTCAGTTAAAAATGAAACGGCAGTCCTCTAGCTGTTTGATCATTACATATTCATGCTAATTATTTCAGCCAACTTACATTAAATGATCTTTGTAAAATAATCTGCTAAAGACCTTCAAAATTATAGTTCTAAATAGTTTATTACTTGATCCATACTTCTTAATAACCAAATATGCACAAAAGCAAATAGAGGAAAGTAGATGAATTGCTTAGTTTTCCACATCTTCATGTGAATTAGTAAAGCTCCGTGTTTGGCGCAATTTGTGTGTAAATGATCTGTGGGTTTTAGTTGACCGCAGTTCAATATTGTTCAATTACACTTAAAATATAACACAGACTTTGACTGCACCAATAACTATATTGTATCCTAGTCATGATTAGTAATGTGTTCATTATATGCTAATCTGGGTAGAAAACATTTTGCAAATTGCTTTCAATTTAGAAGAAGCACATCCAATACATTTTAGGAGAAAAATGACATAATGAAAACAGAGAGCACCCAGGAGAAGTAAGGAAAATGGCAGATACTCTGGATTTTATTTCAAAAGGAATAGTTGAGGAATATGAGCTGTTTAACTTAGAATTAAGAAGACACAGAAGAAAAAATAGCTGTACTCAAACATACGATGAACTGTCAAATGTAAGAAAGAGTATGCTTGCTCAGTATTGTGTTAAGATTAGACATTACATGAATGTTGATTGTGTTCAAAAGATCTATTCTACAACATGGTGACTGTAGTTAATAAAAGTGTACTTTATTCATGAAAATTGCTAAGAAAGTAGATTTTAAGTGTAATAACCACAAAAAATAAGTATGTAAGGTAACGCAGGTGTTAGCCATTCTTAGTGTGTATCTAAATAACAATGTATACATATTTCAAAACACCATGTTGTATATTATATAAATATATACAGTTTTTACCTGTCAATTAAAAATGAATAACTTAGCAAAACCAGAATAAAACAAATGCAGATTTTAAATCAACATAGGCAAGAAGTTTATATGTTCTCTTCATCATTGTTGTAGTCTACACTGTGAAGCTGGAAGCTCAAACTTACTGGATACATGAAGTTTAAGTTAATAATCCGTCTCTCCAAAATATAATGTATGAAATTATTACACTTGTTCAAAGATTCATTTGGTTCTAGATTTTATGAGAATTTGTTGGTTATGTGAATAAGTACTACTTAATATATCTGAAGTGAATCCTGAGTTATGGATTTTCACAATTAACTACTATATTGTAGGATGTAAAGTCATATAAACTATTTCATAAGTTCTCAAAGAACCATGCTAATGGAAATAATTAAAAAGCAGTACGATCAAGACCCTTACTGTCAAAGCCAGACAAAGTTCCATCTAGCTTAATCCCCCCAAAATTTAAAAATCACTTGCCAGCAAAGTCTTAGACTTGAGCTAGGTAGACTCAGGCATCACTACGCTCAAGTGATCGAATTGTATTTTTAGAAACCTTCATTTTTCGTACATTCGTCACCTCTCTCTCTTTCTCCATCTCTCACGGCGGTTATTTCATCTGTTGTGCTTCATTTTCTGAAAGTTCACGTCTGTGCTGAGAAATATGGCCACAAGCATATCCAGGCACACCTAATTGTTAAACTTCCTGATCTTGGAAAGTATAAAGATCTACTTTCTCTTGCATTTAGGGGGATTCTAAAATAAGTATTTCGATTGACCCTTTTATTTATTTATTATTATTAATTATTATTATTATTATTATTATTGAGACAGCGTTTCATTCTTGTTGCCCAGGTTGGGATGCAATGGCATGATCTTGGCTCACTGCAACCGCCACTTCCTGGGTTCAAGCGATTCTCCTGCCTCAGCCTCCAGAGTAAATGGGATTATAGGCAGGCGCCACCATGCCCAGCTAATTTCGTATTTTTAGTAGAGATGAGGTTTCTCCATGTTGGTCAGACTGGTCTTGAACTCCCGACTTCAGGTGATCCGCCCGCCTCCTCATCCCAAAGTGCTGGGATTACAGGCGTGAGCCACTGCGCCCAGCCAACCTTTTATTATATTTACTTCTGAATGTATTTCAGGAAAAATCTCTCTGTTGTTCACAGAAGGAGCCTACAACAAATCCACGCTATTGTGGCACTTGAGGATTGGAAGAATTGAACAGAAAAATCACATGAAGTGAGAGATAGTTCTATATGTACTAGATAACAAATATCTAGTACATATACAATTAGTAATCTAAAGCGCATTTCAGCCGGCTTATCCACACAAACCACTGCCTCTCTTGTTTAGTTTTTCAGTCAGTCTTTTTACCCCTAAACATATTACTAGACCTAAATCCTAGCTATGAAATGGTGGCAGCATCTTTGTATAAACAGAAAACAATTTAATGGAATCCTGAACTGTTAACCAAGTATGAAATCTTTATGTACATTTGCTTTGTGGGGTTTGTAATGTGGATAGTTTGTCAACATATTTAGCAGGTGGTCATAAAGTAAGTTAATATTCAGTTATTTTCTCATATAAAAAACATTTTTTGAATACCAGCTACATGTCAGACAGTGTCACAGGAATAGATAAAGCATGATTTCTAACCTGGCAAAATTCAATTATAATGAAAACCAATAAGCTAATATGTAATTAGAATAAAATATATATATACACACGTGTGGGTGTGTGTATGTGTGTGTGTGTGTACACCGATTTATTTTAAAAATGTTAATAAGGCTTTCAGGGAGCCTAGCAAAGGAAGCTGGCAGGACTGACTGGAGGGTTTGGGACACGTCTCCAAATTGGCCTTATCAGGTGTGGAGGAGTTATTCTGAGGGACAAATGTAAGAGGCTCCACATAAAGGAAGTAACATGAAGCACAGGGTGAAAGCTATGAGAAATGCCAAAGCTTTTGGCCAGACGGTAGAGCAATGTGGCAATGACATGGGCATGCGCACAAGAAGGCAGGAGGCAATCAATGCTTGTTAGTGTTTGGGGGAACTATGTAAACATTTTGGGCTTTATTGCTTTTTTGTGAATAAACAGTGTTTTAATTTCCATAATACCTCCAGAACAGAATGCCAAGACTTGCTTTTTCTGTGCGCTTTTCACATTTTGAGATTATTTGTTTTTCTTTCTCATCCCAACTGCTAATAAACTGCTACTTTCTGCTTGAAACTGGCCTTTGTTAGGTGCAAAGGAAAATAATCGAAGTAATAAAATCTAAGGTTTCATTTGTTTTTTTTTAATTAATGAAAAATTTTAATTCAACTATCTTTTTTTTTTTTTGAGACGAATTCTGGCTCTGTCGCCCAGGCTGGAGTGCAGTGGCGCGATCTCAGCTCACTGCAACCTCCGCCTGCCGGGTTCACGCCATTCTCCTGCCTCAGCCTCCCGAGTAGCTGGGACAACAGGCGCCCACCACCGTGCCCGGCTAATTTTTTCTTTTTTTGTATTTTTTAGTAGAGACGGGTTTCACCGTGTTAGCCAGGATGGTCTCGATCTCCTGACCTCGTGATCCGCCCGCCTTGGCCTCCCAAAGTGCTGGGATTACAGGCGTGAGCCACTGCCCCCGGCATTCAACTATCTTTTTATCAGCTAGACTCCAGTAAAGAAATCTGAACCACTCCAGTTATTTTAATAGAGAACATTTAATAAACAATTCTGTATAAATAGCTATTGGTAGAGTGAAATGCTAAATTAGACATTGTATATAAAAATTATTAAGTAGAATTATTTAGTAATTCTACTGTGAAATTATTATAAAAATAGAAAGAACACAGAGGTATTAACTACACAAAGTAGCCACCATTGTAAACACTTGCAGACCAACAGGAATAGGTTAAGATAATCAGAATCTAGAAATATGGAGATGCCGCTCTCTGCAGCTGCAGCTCCGACTTTCAAAAAACATGCTGGGCGTGTATCTCTGAGGTTGTTTCATGAGGCTGGTTCTAAGAGTTTGGGACGCAAATGAGAAACTGTGGCCAACTGATATTAGTGGAATCCACTTCTGTTATCAGGGTGAATGATTTTGCTGAGGTGATGCTAACAGGAATGGGAAACAAAACTTGAAGAAGCAAGTAACTTTGCCCTTCATGGGCTGTCTGGTTTCCTTTAGTTTCTAATATTTGCAAAACATAACAAAGAATCCCCTAGCAAAGCAATGTGTGTTTGCAGAGTTCCAGCCGTAGTACCCCAGAGTTTGGAAGTGTGGGTTTGAAGCTGAGGGACACCTTAATGACTAGTTTACTTGCCGGCTGGTTGAATATCGATCACAGTTTGCAGATAAAAGAGAAATTTCAGTCCATACAGGAGAGGAACTTTTCCAGCTTATTATATATAAGATAAACTAGAGATGACACTAGATCTTCTATTAATTCTGTATTTTGTAGACTCTCCTATAGCTATGTATGTTTACCTCCCTACTCATTATTCTTTATAGTGGCATTCATTTTAGATGGATGATATCAAGCTTACTTCACGGAGCTTAGAGAATAGAGAAGATAAAACTATAAAGTGCTAAACATTTTACTGGAAAGACTTTCTCATTTAGTATGAATACTAAATTCATGATTTTAACACTAAAGTAATACTATAAATGAAAAAGAAAAAAATTCATCTATACTTGTGTATAAGTTTATAATCATTAGTTAAATATAAGCCTTAGAATCATTCTACTAGCAATATATGAAATTATTATTATATAGTTAATATATTTTTAATCCTTATTTTTTCACAGAGAAATTAAGTACAAAAGGAATAACAAATAGTTGTAATATTGTAAAAAACAAAATAAATTGAATGCATAACTAAAATTGTGGCAGATTAGAATAGTTTCACATTTTCAATTGGTGATCAGATTTCTAAAGTTATGCATAATGTAAAATACATAAACATATGTAATGAGGGATATAATAACCAAGTGTTAACTCCCATGAATAATCTATGGTCTAGAATTTTAGTAAAAATAATACATCCTTCAGAATCAGATTTTATTAACACATCTCTGTGTGCATATACTAATAACCCAACTTCCTGCTCCATTTCCCCCTTATTTGTGTAGTCATGGCATTTTGTGGCTCTGAGAGATAATAATAGTGTTTGAAATTATTTTGTGCATTTTTCTATTTTCTTTAATCTTGATCACATGACTTGCTTTGGTCAATAGAATGGTGAGCAGCCATAACCAATGCATCCTGATTAGAAGATTGCAGAGATATTGTGAGTTTTCAACAGTTCTCTTGCTCTTGTGCACTCTGTCATCAGAAAAAAAGTGCCTCAGTTCTGTTCAAAAATTAGGAGGAGGAGACTTACACCCTATCTATAGTTCAGAGTAGAGCTACAGCAGCATATCTGGACCTGCAGATGCTGACAGGTTCTGGAAGTGAGAGACTGAAATACAAATGGACAACAGCAGGATCCCATATAAAAATAGAACTCTCCCCACAACCTGGATGTAGCAACCAGCCAAAGAAGCCAAGCTACAACCTTTGTAGCAATCAGCCCCAAACAGCAGGGCTTCATCAATAACTAACACTTTCTCTAATTTTTGCCCCCATTTCCAGCTTATGACCAACAAGAAGAAAGCAAATATTCTCCCATAACCAACCAAATATGATGCTCCATTTCTAGTTAGCCTGCCTCCAACTTACCTTGCCAAGAGCCTCCAATCAAGGCATACCTGAGCTTCCCCCAACTACCGCCCCACCCCAGCCTTTTTTTTTTTTTTTTGAGACGGAGTCTTGCTCTGTCGCCCAGGCTGGAGTGCAGTGGGGCTATCTCGGCTCACTGCAAGCTCCGCCTCCCGGGTTCACGCCATTCTCCTGCCTCAGCCTCCCGAGTAGCTGGGACTACAGGCGCCCGCCACCACGCCCGGCTAATTTTTTGTATTTTTAGTAGAGACGGGGTTTCACTGTGTTAGCCAGGATGGTCTCGATCTCCTGACCTCGTGATCCTCCTGCCTCGACCTCCCAAAGTGCTGGGATTACAGATGTGAGCCACCGCACCCGGCCCAAGCTTTCCCTTTTTTATACCTTAAAGCTTTCCTGCTCCTTTGCCTGTAAATCTCTGTAAATGCAGATGATAGTGGCTGACTCTCTTGCTATAGCAAGCTCTGAATAAGTAGCATTTGTTTGTTGTCATCTCGTTGTTTGTCTTTGTTTATATCCACATAAATGGGAAATAAACATACACCAGTAAGTTTTTGAGATTGTTCCTTTCAGCATATATTAGGGAATGCTGACTATTATAGTAACAGCTGACTACAAAAGAGATTACCTAAAGGAGAGCAGGGAACATTTGGCCTAAGAATTTTAGATGATTTCACTGGACACATAGTATTCATAAATCAGGTAATATTATATTCCATGTCCCATTCAAGAGAAAGAAATTTTCAGAAAGATTTTATAAGCCAAAATACTGCCATATCTTGCCAGACTTCTTCTAGTGTCATCCCCTCCACCTGTCTTCCATCTAACCATGAAACAAAAAGTCAAGGAGAAAATATCTAGGTGTCATTCCTTGATTTTGTATTTGTTTTTGCTTCTTCCCTCCACCGACTATAGCAATGGTATTCAGCATTATATATAAACTTGTTAGACCTGCAAGTTCTCCATTCTACCTTGGACAGGCTACTGAATCAGAAACCCTAGGATGGAGTCCAGCAATACATACTTTTACAAGACCACCTGGTGATTAAGAAGCAGGCTAAAGTTTGAGAGCTACTGAGTTATGTATACTATCAACCAAAAACCATCGTGCTTTAAGGTAGTAATTGCTAACTTCTTCAGAGAAATGCGGCTGGCTTCTATAAGAAAGATGAGGGAATAACAGCATACACTAATTTCCAGGTGATCCCTCATCTCCCAAAGCCTGCCTATGTATTTTTAATTAAAAACACTTTCTCTCAGTTGTTTTCAACTGGGGCACTATCGACGTTTGACGTGTAGCATTTCTCTGTTGTATGTGACTACTTTTTGCAATGTGGTGGGATTAGAATATTTGGCTCCCATTTGTTAAATATCAGCAGCATTCTGTAGTCATTGGGCCATGTAAAAATCTTCCCCAGATATTTTCAGTACTCTGCACTTGCGTAGAGCTGTAAAAGCACTGGTTGAGCTGAGACACAGGTCTTCTCCTGAGCTTGGATGAAAATTTATAGCATCAGATCTCCTTGTGTTTAGGACTTAGGTCTTGAACTAGAACTAATTAACTGGCTTTTCTGGGTTTAACACACTATTGCCAATTTCATCATCTCAACACTTCTGTTTGGATGTCATGCACAATTATGAACTGCCATTTCTATTCTTCACAAATTGAAATCAATCATTTTTCTACACAAACTTCTACTTTACTCTGGCAGATTACTCTCTGTCTGAATATACTCATCCTACTGTCTCTGCTCATATCCTACTCTGTCTCTGCTTATATTCTCAGTGCCCAGGGTGCCCTTTTCTGATCCTTCCCTGGTATTTAAATATTATGCATCCTTAAATATCTAACTTAACCTCCATGTTTACAATGGTAACTTGTCTAATTTTTCTTGCTCTCTCTGGTATCCTGGTATTTGAACTTTGATAAAATTATTGTGTGTATGACATAATGTTCAACTTTCTTACATATAATACCATCAGGACACATATTTCAATAGATCATTGTTACAGAAGCTTTCTATTTTAAATAAATTTGTATTTGTACAGCCGCTATTCTGTTTAGAATATCTAGTTGGAGCACTATTACCATAATCATGGAATATTTAATGGAAGATACAAATGAGAGGGCTTGACAAACTCATTTGTGAGAGAGAGGAATAAGAATATAATGGAAGATAAATCCAAAATATGGGTGACTCTGAGAATAGTGGTGCCTCTGTTAGGGTTCTCCAGAGAAAGAAAACCAATAGGAGATTTTATATATATATATAAATATATATATATATACACACACACACACACACATATAATATATATATTACATATATATGTATGTATATGATATGGCTAATGTGTGCGTGTGTGTGTGTGTGTGTATACATATATATAGAGAGAGAGAAAGAGAGAGAGAGAGATTTCATATAAGAAATTGGGACCAAGTGTGGTGGCTCACACCGGTAATCCTAGAACTTTGGGAAGTCAAGGCAAGAGGATCAGCTGTACCCAAGAATTTAAGACCAGCCTAGGCAACATATTGAGACCCCATAACTACAAAAAAAGTTGAAAAAAAATATTAACCACATATAGTGGTGCATGCCTGTGGTCCCAGCTACTCTGGAGGCTGAGGTGGGAGGATTGCTTGAACCTGGGAGGTCGAAGCTAGAGAGAGCCATGATTGCATCACTGCACTCCAGCCTGGGTGACATAGCAAGACCCCGTCTTGAAAGAAAGAAAATAAATAAATAAATAAATAAATAAGCTCATATTATTAAGGAGGTTGAGAAATCCCAAGAAGATATGCAGTAAGCAAGCTGGAGACCCAAGAGTAATAGAAGTGGTGTAGTTCTAGTCTGAGTCTGAATTCCTGATAACAAGGAGGGATGATGGTATAAGTTGCAGTCTGAGGGCAGGAGTCTGAAGTCCCAGCTCAGGCAATAAGTCAGGTGACATTCCTTCCTACTCTATTAAGTTTTTCAATTGACTGGATGAGTCTCATGCACATTAGGGAGGATAATCTGCTTTACTCATTCTAATTTAAATGTTAAGCTCATGTAGAAACGCCCTCATGCACACACATGGAATAATGTTTGACCAAATACCTGGGCACTTTGTGACCCACACATGTAGACACATAAAATTAACCTTCACAGTGCCATTAACCAAAATAGTATACTTAGGAGAAATTGCAACCCTCCAAAAGAAAATAGCCAGCGTCTTAATGGGAAATCCATGTAAAATTCCATGGTACACAGTAAGAAATGTAGCATTGACCCAGGGATTTCAAATGGTGAAATGGAGCACAGATGAGAGATGTGGTAGTGGGCAGGCAAGACAGTTGACAAAACTTAGAGGGAGAAAGTAGAAGAGTGATGAAAGAAACCATCACAGAATATGAAAACTAAAAGGAAAATGATTCATTAAAAAGTCATAATGCAGTAGATTCTCATTCATGTATTCCGTATTTGCAAATTCACATGCTCCCTACAATTTATCTGTAATCCCAGAATTAATAGTTGTGACACTTTCATGATCATTCATGGACACGTGAAAGCAGCAAAAAATTTGAGTTGCCCAATGTGCATATTTCCAGCTTAGGTTGAAAGTGACCCTCACCTTCTTGTTTCAGTTCCCACACTGTAAACAAGCGTCCTTATGCAGTCTACTTAGTGACACATTCTTCATGTTTTTGTGCTTTTTTGGGGGTGATTTCAAGATTAATAATGGTCCTCAAGGTTAGTGCTTAAGTGTTGTGTAGTGTTCAGTGCATGGTGACTAGGATATGCCTTATGGAGAACATATGTATGTTAGATAAGCTTATTTAGGCCTGAGTAGTAGTGCTGTTGGCCCTGAATTAAATTTTAATGAAACATCAATGTATATTAACTAAAGACCTAATTAAAGAGGAACACAGGAAACCAGATTATATATTGGTCAATTGATGAAAATGTTATGACCAGAGACTTGCAGGAACCTAACCTGCATTTCCCTTAAGAACACTGGTTCAGTATTTGCTAATTTGGTATTTATGGTACCTTTATAGAACATAAGTACCATGAATAAGGAGAACTGACTATATATGATATATTTGTTCACACAGGAATTTAGTAGTTTTAATGTAAAGAGGGACAACGACAGTTATTTTCAAGTAGAATATTATTCAAATTATATTTTGTACTGGATTAAAATTGATTAATTGATGAATTCTTTTAAATACTAATAAATTATATTATAAAATTTCTCAAATTTTTTTATGATAAAGTCATAGGGAATATATTTTAACATGCACATTTACCTTGAACTTAAATGTTGCCACTGTTGGTCCATACCAACCCTATTATAGTTGCTCAACAATGATATAATCATTGTCCCAAATCCTGCTTGCTTCTAGGAATGAAGGATGATGCTCATGGAAATCCTGAATATTTGAAGATATTAACTTTAGCTTTAAATATTACTTTTCAGCTGGTTAGAGTTGAAGGGTAGCATATAAATATATTCATTCATTCATTGCTTTATTTAGCAATCTGTTACTGGGCTTCTAGTAGGTGTCCAGAAACTTCTTTTGCCAAAAGTAAATGAAGGTTTTGTGGGATTCTCTTTGATTAAATAAATAAATAAATAATTTTTTAAAAGGAGTATCTGGTACAGAGCCTTGGAAGAGCCTCTTGCATTGCAGAGACTGAAATTTAAACTTCGTTAGGTTTTCTCCTGTGCCTTTAGTAAAATAGGCAAAAGGGATCATAAAGTTTACACAAGTTTGGAGATTAATAGTGTTAAATACAAGAAGATATGTTAAACTACAATGAAATAAGCCTAGTGTATTATTTTCCTGGGGCTACCCTATTAAATTACCACAAACTGAGTGACTTAAAACAAAAGAAATTTATTCTCTCACGGCTCAGGAAGCCAGAGTCTGTAATTCAGGTACAGGCAGGGCTGGCTCCTTCTGGAGGCTCTGAGAGACCCTCTTCCATTCCTCACTTGTGATTGATAATTGCCTGCAATCCTTGGCATTCTTCAGCTTGTAGAAGCATCACTCCAATCTCTGCCTTCATTGTCACATGGCCTTCATGTGACACATACGTCTATGTGTCTTTTCCTTTTCTTATAAGGACAAAAGTCATAGGATTTGTGACCCACCCTAATCAAGTATCATCTCACATTAACTAATTACATCTGCAAAGACTCTGATATGGTTTGACTGTATCTCCACCTAAATGTCATCTTGAATTGTAGCTTTCATAATTCCCACGCTTCATGGGAGGAACCCTGTGGGAGGTAATTGAATCATGGGGGCAGGTCTATCCCATGCTGTTCTTGTGATGGTGAATAAGTCTTACAAGATCTGATGGTTTTTATAAAGGGGAGTTCCCCTGCACACACTCTTTTGCCTGCCGCCATGTAAGGTGAGCTTTCTCCTCCTTTGCCTTCAGCTGTGATTGTGAGGCCTTCCCAGCCATGTGGAATCGTGAGACCATTAAACCTTTTTCTTTATAAATTACCCATTCTTGGGTATGTCTTTATTAGCGATATGAGATCTGACTAATACAGGCCGTATTTCCAAATAAGGTCACATCCTGAGGTTCTGAATAGACCTGAATTTGGTGGGAAACTATTCAACTCGTTATATTTAGTCACTAATGGAACTCTGGCAAAGCATGAAGGGATGACACTCCTGACCTGGTGCAAGGCAAAAATGTGAAGATTAAGGATATGTTGTATTAGTAACTATTGATTCTATGCTGAGGCACCAGCTATATATAATAAAGCTCGCCCTTATCTGTCCTCTTTGTAGGGTAGGAGGGGAGAATTGATTAGAAGAATTTGGACTCAAGTACATCTAGCTTTCTACATTATATCATATATAACAAGTCTTTTAAAATTCCATGAGTAAGTTAGATATTACTTTGAAATTTAATATACAATTAATCATATAAACTGATCCTGGATTAGTTTAAGGGGAATAGGAATTTTGACACATACTTTAGATAATTCGAAGAAACTGTGGAAAATAGGTGCTACAGTACTGAGTCCCATTAAATATACATCAGGGTTTGAATTTATTTGAGTCTAAAAGTTCCAGCACTCTTGAAAAATTTTTGAAAATATATATCTCCATTAGAAAAAGAAAAGCATTACTTTGAAAAATTTTTTTGATATTCAGAAATATTTAGCTGAACTTAGGTTCTGCTTTCACAAATGACACACACAATATAGTGAAGCTACTTCAAATTTAAAATTGGGATGAATTGAACTTAACACAGTAATATGTAGATTTTCCACATGGCAGGTGATCACCTGTTAATACCAAAAAGAACAGGGCAAGATAATGACTGTTTCTGTGGAAGAAAATAACAGAGTGAGGTAATCACAGCCAGCTTCAGTCAGCTTGTGGGTGTATGTGTGTGCTCTGTGTTTGACATTTGACTATCTTTAAGGTCACATATATTTCCCAGAATTGTTTTTGAGAAGAACAATAATATCCGCATTACTTAGACACGCTAGTTAAAATATGTAAATGCTTTTACATTAATTAAGACTTTATTTTAAATTGTTCTGAGAGCTGTTACAATGAAATCAGAGCAAGAATCTTATGTAAGATTTTGGAGATTTGCATTTCATTTTGGTGTAAACACATACAAAATTCGCTTTAGTGAATAATGAGCTGCATGCTGTATTTTCTTTTGACTTTTCTGTTATTTTCTCTTGTTCCTGTTGTGGCAAATGGTTTTCATAGCCAACTCCTAGACTGGGCTACTTAAACTACTGTAATGTGTTAAGTGGTTTTATTGAGTAGAATGTGATTCCATTAACATGTTTCAGCGTGAAAACACTGGCAGTTCAGGACAAATGCTTCTGTTTGTAAACTATAATAAAACGTATCTTAGAGGCTATATAGCCTGACAAAGATTGCTACCTTTTATTCTGAACCTCTCCTGTCTTTATCAGGAAATGTGTCATTCTTTTCCCTCATAGCAATCCAAAACCTCTGGCATTTATAAATCAAAGAGGTAAAAATGCCAGTGAAATGTATATAGTATTTGCATGTTTGAGCCCAGGTGTTTTTATGAAAGTTTGCTGACTTGATAATATCTAGCTATTTGTAGATTTAAAAAAAAATGTGAATGTCACCTTCTAAAGGCAGAACTCATTATGTACAATGAACATAAGGAGAGACCACCATATACTTTTCTCCCTTTCCCTACCTCTTTAAATTAAAGCTTTGCTTTAAGGGATGCATACTTTTACTGCAGTAAACCTGAATGATTCTACTTCTTTAATGTAAAACTAATACTTCCCAGTTTTAAATCATGTTTAGATTTCTCGTTACAATTTGAAAAATGAAAGCCTAAATAAAAGTAGGTGACAGATTCATGGCTATTCAGATACATACACACACACAAACACAAGTTAGGGGAGCAAGTTTGAGTAGTATTCTTGATACTTTTTAAAGAGAGTGATTTGAGTAATAAACTTAAAACAGGTTTTAAAAGGAATTCACAACAAATATTAGATTAATTTGAGATTTAGGAGCTATGGGAAATTTGAAAATAATTGCGGTGTCTGACAGCTGTAAACAGCATTGTTTTTCCTACCAATTTGCCAGAAAACCATTTGCTTGATGGGATGGTGGTCACCAGGTTGCTGGGCTATATGTAAGGTAGACTTCCTGCTACAAGAGAACGTAAAAAAAATTATGTGAGACCTTGTTCTACTTTAATTAATTACTAAGCATGATGAATGTGCAGACTAACATGGAAGTTATTGTAAGAGTTAAAGCAAGAGGAAAGAAACACGAAAAGTGGGTCAACAGTCAAACATGGGTTCATTTTGGAGAATAAACCTGAGAGGGACTTCTGGCATATTTTGCTCAGGAGAGCTTTCTCTTAAAGACTAAGAGTATTTAAGGGTTCAGGGCGAGAGACCTTAACAAAGGAGTACTTGGAATGTTTCTGTGTGGAGGAGAAGTTGATTGTGGGGCTGGAATGTCTCTGGTTGGAGGAGAGGTTATCTTGGGGCTGACATCTCTCCTGCCGGAGGGGAGGTTATCTTGGGGCTGGCATGTTTCTGATTGGGGAGGGGTTTATCTTAGGGTTGGAATGTTTCTGGTTGGAGATGTCATTTGTGGCTTATGGTCATGCTGACCTTAGCCATTATGCAGATGCCCTTTACATTTAGGTGGTTTTTGATCAAGGAGAACTTTAAAATGGCAGTGCTTGTCCAAGATGGCAATGCTCCTGCTCTGTCAATCTAGACCCTATAGTTATAAAAGCAGATGAAGGATGGCGTGTTCTTTCTGGCTACTTCCTGGTGATGAAGGGACAGAGAGTTTTCTGGTCTCAGATTGACTGTAAAAGTAATGCCATCTATATATGTTTTTGGGTAGTTATCTGTGAAATGGCCATGACCTTGTCAGTTAAAAATATTTGAAAAGTGTTAATTAGGCAGGTGAGAACATTACTCCTAGGCATATTGTTAGGAGAGGACCCAGGAATGGGATGACCCATGCTATGGTTTTGGTATTCCAAAACAATTTGGGGTTCCCGGCCTGTCAGAAAGTGATATTCTTTACTTACCACAGGTCAGAAACCCTGTACAGAGACTGTGTACAAAAAATACGAGGCCAGTTTCCTAAGGGCCTTCTTGGCTTCATAAGTTAAATTTAATTCCTTAAAGGAAAGCACACCATTCCAGTCAAAGCCTTGGTAAAAATAACTAGGTTTTCCAA
This sequence comes from Homo sapiens, assembly GCF_000001405.40. Lineage (NCBI taxonomy): Eukaryota > Metazoa > Chordata > Mammalia > Primates > Hominidae > Homo > Homo sapiens. Next base: position 81,069,332 of record NC_000003.12, on the reverse strand, counting down.
TTGTGCCCTGTTACAAAATAAAACAGATTCTTATTGCACTTATGCAAACAACTATATTGCCATAATTTAAGAATACTCACAGATAGTTTCCAGAATTTGGAAAATTTAGAGAAAAACAGGATGATACCCCTTCAACTTTAGCCAATATGTTTACACACAGAATTTCCTTTACAATTAACCTTCCAAAACTTGCCTAAACCTTCATTTTTATTTTATTCAACTTAAAACATTTCTTTAACCTTTTAATCTAGGTAAAAATCCAAATTCTCATGCCTCCTTATAATCTTTTTACCAAAAGTATATGTAAACTATTTTTTCAATAGTCTTAAATACATATTATGTTAACTTTTAGCAACCTTTACTTTTGTTGGTAAGTTTGGGATTTTGATTATGTACTAGGTGTAGAGCCTAGGACCTAGACAGAAGTGCAAATAAGGTCTGACTTATTCCAGCATTTAACTCCATGTGTCTTAGGTCTTACCTAGCTGTAAAGCGGGCAAGTTGTACAGCTAAGAGTTATAGTGGCATTTTATAAAGCATTCAGGAGGCCTAGTCACTTTTAAACTGCACAACATTTCTTGCATAAATTACCTTTTAGAAAATTTTTCATGACTTACACAGACAATCTCTGACATGCCTTGACTTTCTGACTTATTGTAAACATCCCTCTCTTTAAGTAATCAGTTAATTTACTTTAGTACAAGAATTTACCATATAAGATTCCTTTTTATATAAATTATCTTTACTTTAATATCAAAGATGATAACAGTCCTTTCCCAAAACAATCTTCCTTCATGTCTGTGGGCTAGACTGCCTAAGGCCACAGGATTAGAAGTTAGGGTATTTCACTAAATAGTTCAAAATGTAGCTATCTTTATTACACCAATATTAATATTTCATTTATTAAAAAATTACACAAGCAAAGATTATAAATGTATGCTGGCAACTCTTAAGACATTTGTAATCTTACTGTACTAGTAAGTTTTAAAGATTAAAGTCATGTGAGCTGGAAGGTCACACAGCTTTTACTTTTCCCTTAAAAATATTTGGTTTAAGCACTTATTTTTCTTAGGCCTATTAGAGTTTTTTAATAGACATTGCACGCATAACACATATGCAGTCCCACAGAAAACCAGAAGATCCAGTAGTTATATTTTTTTCTTTTTTGCTAATTTCCCAGTTGGATTATTAGCCTTTGGGTGAGGCCCTTTAAGAACAGGGCTGGGAAAACAGATTCCAGGTCCTAATAAACAAGTAGAGCTGGAAGACAAAGACAGATTCTGAGAGGTACTTATTCACCTCTAATTCCATTGGTTCCATAAGGAAAACAGACATTTTTCCCAAAACGGGATTTGTGGTGCCTTTTCTCTATTCCCAAGGAGTCTGAGGCCACTAGAAGTCATTTTAGGGTTTTTCATACACCAAGAGTGGCAAGACAGAAAAGTAATTCAGTCAACTGGGAAAAAATCTTTTCCAGGCAAACAAGATTTATGAAAAGAAAAACATAAAGGCCTTTTGAATATACTCAAAGTTCAGAATATTTATTTTAATTAAGCTGAGCACTCTTTTTCATCGGGGTGAAGGTGGAGGTTAGAATTATATAAATATCATGCCAAGTTAAATGAAAGGATTAGGTTATGTGCAGGAATTCCCAGCGATAATGAGAAGGATTTACAGAGAAAGATCCCAGGCGCTGTTTGATCTGCAACAAATCAGACTTGGAGAAAGCGCATGAACACAAGCAATGCCTTCAACCCCAGCCACTTTCCAGAGAAGGAGAATGGCAGAGTATTTTGACTAGCTGGAGTAATTTTTCTTTTTGAGACAGAGTTTCACTCTTGTTGCCCAGGCTGGAGTGCAATGTCATGATCTAGGTGTGGCTCAAGCCTGTAATCCCAGCACTTTGGGAGGCCAAGGCGATTGCATCTCCTGTGGTCAGTTGGAGTAGTTTCTGAACAGATAACAGGTGGAGAAAGAGGAGGAGTGGGATTTGGGGCCGAAGGCTTGCAGGTACGAAGGACCACTGTGGCGGAGGGTTCTGGCAGGCAAGGAGCGGATGCAAGGGTATTAGAATATGGAGGGGGTTCGTGCATAGGGTCAAAGGGGTTTTGGAGGAAGGGATTTCTAAGGAAGGCATTTTGGAGCAAGGAGAGACGAGGGGAGGGTTTTCATTAAGAAGAAGGATTTCATGAGGGGTGCAAGCTTGACCCAGGGAGGGTCGGGATCTAAGGTAGAAGAAAGCCTGAATATAGAGAACCTCTTGCCATTTGACATTTCTGGTTATAAAGTTCTCAAGGTCCCTGAGAATTTGAAAGTCAAAGAACCCCATTTTCAGGCCATTGGCTGTCATTATCTAATTTATATCGGGGCCAGGCCATGTTGCAATAAAAAACCAAACACTTTGGCTTTATGCTTCCTGTAAGCCAAGTTAAGCGAGGCTGTGAAAAGTGGTGAGGACTAGGAATGTGGGATTGTTTGGCACACATGTGACTGGTGAGAAGAGGCTGAGTGTGTCTGTTTTTGTTCTCGGCATCCTCAGACAAACGACAGAGACTCGCAATCCTCTTTCTAAAGAGGACGTTTAAGCTGAGAAAAAACTGGGTGTCCCCAGTATTTTTTCTAGCTTAGTCCCACTGGTTCTCTGAAGACTGGGATGGTAGACCTGACTTTCCTGGGTAGCAGGAGAAAGCCAGGGGAGGGCAGATCTTACCAGTCAGTGAGATTAGTGTCCCATGTTGGATGTTCTTGTTGGAATTGGTAAATCACACGAGGAAGAGAGAGAGAGAGAGGAGGAGGAGGAGGAAGAGGAGGGAGGAGGAGAGGACAAGGGTTACAGAGCAAAATACCCATTGGGGGTGGTCGGAGGTGGATTCCTGATATCTGAGGGTTTTGTAGTCCACTGGGGAGTGCCCTATCCTGAGCCTTGCAGTCCCCTTCATGTTAGTTGTTTTCCTCATGCAAATCACTCAAAAAGTGAAGTGAGAGACAAGATGGGGTGGATGGCCAGAGACTCTCAGGATCCAGTGGGATGAGCTGCCACTGCCCACTGCTTCCTGGGTTGCAAGAGAGCTTCTACCCCTGAAACCCATCCCGGGTCTTGGCACCAAATATAAGAGTTAAAGAAAGAGGAAAGAAACACAGAAAGTGGTTCAACAGTCAAAGACAGATTTATTTTGGAGAATAAACCTGAGAGGGGCTTCTGGCCTATTTTGGTCAGGAGCATTCTCTCCTACAGACTAAGAGTATTTAAGGGTTCAGGATGAGAGAACTTAACAAAGGAGTACTTGGAATGTTTCTCCGTGGAGGAGAAGTTGATTGTGGGGCTGGAATGTCTCTGGTTGGAGGGGAGGTTATCTTGAGGCTGACATCTCTCCTGCTGGAGGGGAGGTTATCTTGGGGCTGGCATGTTTCTGGTTGGGGAGGGGTTTATCTTAAGGTTGGAATGTTTCTGGTTGGAGATGTCATTTGTGGTTTATGGTCATGTTGTCCTTAGCCATTATGCTGATGCCCTTTGGATTTAGGTGGTTTTACATCAAGGGGTACTTTAAAATGGTGGTGCTTGTCTAAGATGGTGATGCTCCTGCTCTGTCAGTTATGACTCAAAAAGCGAAAAAAAATATAATATTTGACCAGTAATTCTCAGGTAGATGAAAGATGGCCAGGATGGACAAGTTCCCTCATATTTATAAAAGGCTTCAAATGTGGAGTTTGATGTTTTCTTCAACCTGTTACACATTCGCTTGTATTTGAATGAGGAGATATTAAAATATGTGGTAAAACAAATGTCTATGGCATACCTTAGTTTTTAATGTTGGCTTGTCATTTACAAACCCCTCTCATTATTCTGGAAGTCTAAAAAATGTAGCTCATATATTGCTTTCAATGTAGGAGAGGCACCAATTTTGAGAAGAGAGAGGAGAGTCTGCAGACAGTGGATATGGGTCAAATAGAAAAATACAACAAGGTAATACAGCAGGTAGCACTGTCTTCTCACAAAAAATGAATGTAGAATTTAGGAAAAGATGGCATTTTATTTTCCATAAATATAAAAAGAGGCACTAACAAGACAAGGAAAGTTTCAGAAAAGACACAGCTAAAAATGTGTGCATTGAGAAAAGGTTTATAAAATCACTGAACATGGACTTTAAAGGTCAAAATAGAAAAGAAAATGGAGAGATGGCCTATTAATTTAGATAAATTGTATAATATTAAAGAATGATAGAGAAATGAAAACAGCATATCCAATGTTTTGTTGTGTCACTCTTGTCATGTAGAATAATTCAGATGCAAAGAATAGACCAAAATTAAAGGGTAATATAAGACAATCATTAGTGGTTTCTAGCCATTTTAAATAATTTCAACTCTTCATAGTCAAAAATACAACTTATAGAAATTGAAAATGCTGATTTAATTAAAGCAGTCAAATATTGATTAACTCTCAGATTCATGAAGTTTAAAGGTCAAAATTTACTTTTTCAAAATTCTCTTTTTATATATGAGAGAACCGAGGCATTGGCATGTTAGGTCCATGGACATAGACCAACATGCTGAGTAAGTCCAAATCACAACTAGAATCCACATCTCCTGACCATCAGCTCACTATGATTGACATCATAAACCCTGACCACCTTTGTCCGGGGTTTTCCTTCCAAATTTTTCTGCTTTACAATATTGTGAGAAACCATAGACTTAACTTAGCATCTATGATATCTCAGTCTTGTACCAGGTGTTTTATGTACATTGGAACTAAGTCTCATGAAATCTCTGAAATGTTAAGTATTCTTAACTTCATTTTACAAGACAAGAAAATGAGGCTCATAGAGACTAAATTACTAGCCTAATATCACATAGTCAATAGAGAGAAGAGTGGGATTTATAGATAAAAATGCTATTCTCTTCATACTTCCTAATATTATGCCACCACTACTTTATTTGAAAAAGATAATTCCTCTATCAGCATGTCAGCCAGCAGTGCATGTGTAAATTTGTCTATCAGCTTGTTTTCTTTTTAAGGTGCATGATAATCACTGATTTTCAAACTTTACTGTGGAAGTGAGTTTCTTGGGTGATCTTCTTAAAAATTCAGATTTGACTCAGATGGGGCCTAAAATTCTGCAATTCTAACACACTTCCAAGTAATCCTGCTACTGTTGGTCTACAGATTATGCTTTAAGAAGCTAAATATTAGTAGTGCTATATAACACTGTGGCCCTGTGGACCCATAGCAACCTGGAAACTATTACTCTTCTGCAATGAGATAAGAAACTTGTGCAAGAATGTAAATCAACACCAGTCTTCCTTCATGGAAAAAGTGGTTAAGAAAAGAATGACAGGTGAACCAAACAGTATTCTTTAGATTTGCATTCTGACACAAGCTCTTTTTCTCATATGAGACATTAGATAGGTAACAACCAATTCCCTCACAAGCTACTTGAGAAGCACATACGTTGTGTGTTGAGAGGGGATGAGAACTTTGAATATGGAAGAGGAAGAATAAAACAAGTTTTGCTGAAAAAATGTGTTACGTGGAAATGGAAAAGCTCCGCAGTGCAGAGCTCACTAAGGTGTGAAGATATTCTCAGGGCATAGAGAAAAAAAAAAAAGACTATGTTTGGACGTAAGATAGACTTTTCCTATTTAATAAATTTACCTTAGGCATAGAAGAGTGTTCTTCTCACACTGTCTTAGCAATGCTGCTTTTAGAATCTTAGAAATGGTGGTGTCCACAGTTCTCCAGTCTGACTATTCATTAGAACCAATCTTGTGTTCTTTAAAAATGATTTCTGTGGAGACTATGATTCAATTAATTTGCATTTAATTGCTTGATCACTAGAACATTTTAAGCTCCTCAGGGATTTGTAATATGTAGCCAAGGTAAACATATCTACATTATGGATAATTAAGCACCTGAAGACTTACTTGTGAACCTAAGCATTAAGTATAACATATTTCTAAGGAAATAATATTATCATCCAGTATGTGGTATCATCAAATCTCTACAGAATACAGGAGGAACTAGACAGATGGCATAGGAGGAGCTAGAGAGGAGTAATTGCTAGTATATAACATGAATTCAGTGACTACTACTTGGGGCAAATTAGGCTTATTTTTTTTTTGGTAGTTGTTTCATTTAAGATAAATGAAATCTGCATCATAATAATACCACTTTATCTTTCTCTTAGCTGTTGATAAAAATACTATTTCATGTATATTATTATATGGTGCATCCACAATTCTGAATATTAAGCATCAATAGTTACTAATCTTATTAAAATTGAATTTCTGAGATTGTAAAGACTTATTTGCTTTTACTTAGTTATGTCTATTGACATTATGTTAAATCTACAAATCTTGGTTGCAGAAAATGACTGATTAAGTCTTCCCTTACAAATTTTTGGGCAAGGTAAAAATATGTGGGCTGGAATATAAGGCCAATAGGTGGATCTGTAGATTATTAAATATATTTATTCAAAGTATGTTGATAGATGTCAACCTTGATAGAATTCTTTAAAGAGAAGATCAGGATCTGCTCTGGATCTACACTTTCAAATATTTATTATCCATGATGTGATAAGATATAGAAGTTATGGTTATCAAATACACCTAGCTGAGATTGACAGCTAGAATTCCACGCACCGGAATCCGTAGTTTAAAATCCTGACAGACTGGAATAGGAGGTCAAATATAGCAAGATAAAATTTGCATGCAGATAAAATTCTGCTTAGGTTCAAATATAGCAGGTGCATGTAAAGAAAACGTATCAACTATCCTCAAGTATTCGAAGTGTTTTTGTAGAAGAGCATTTTGACATTGTTTGCATGAATCTCCATGACAGAACTAGCAGAATGAACAAAAATCAAGGCAGTTTGTAGCAGAATCTGAGAAGATTTTCTAACAGCACAAGAACTAACATTTTCAGAAGCTTCATCCATAGAGAAGCTTGCTGCTCTGCCACATTCTTCTACTTAGTCCTTTTCACACTGCTGGGCAGAAGGGACAGTTAACTGAGATTATGGAAGTTAGGCCTCTGCAAAAAGTCACATATGGAACACGAAGCAGACTAAAGATTGGAAGTCATAGCTGCCTGCCTGCATTTTGCAAGAAATAGTGATCAAAATAATACATTCTTAACAATGAGAATTATTTAAACACAAAGAGGGGATCAATCATCAAGAATGTTCCAGAGAAAAGTTTCTTAAATGGGCAACTGAAAAACAAAATAATTTTAATACTCCATTGTTTTTTAATTGTTGGAATTTTCTGAAACTCTACTCCTTTTCTAGCAACTACCTCCTTCACAATCACATAATTATCATGGGGATTACAAGTTAGTATCATAGCTTCTCCTTGCCTCATCAAAGGTACAGTTAGTAGGGTGGCCACAGAATGGCTAGGATTAGTCCTAGACTGGGCAATGAATCCTTTGCATAAGGTTTTTAAACTAGAAGCTAGAGCACGTTATTATTCTTACAGGCGATTCAAACTACAAAATCTAAATCTCAGGAACTGGTAAAAGCCATGTTTTTTTTTTTTTTTTTTTTTTTTTTTTTTTTTGCTAGATAGAGGAATTTTGGCTGGAGCTAGAGACACAGAGAGATTCAGATGAGAAAGGAAGATCCTCATGGCTTTCAATAACCTGATTCTATATTTTTTGAGTCTGAACTACATTCTAGTCATTGGTTCACAACCAACATGAATTCAGCCAGTTTAAATGGGTTTTTCACTATTACAACTCAGTCCGAAGAGTCATTTTCTGCCAAGAATTCTAATAAATAAAAATTAAGATACAGCAAGGTAGTAAAATATATTTAAAGATTAAGTCATTGCATATAGGAGCCACAATTTCTATGTAAATAATGTAAATAACAAACAGAGGTTCTCTAACAGAAAATGGCATTTATTTGGGAATAGAGAAATGCAGTGGGAAAATGTGTGCCATAGTAAACTATGTGTGTAGTCAGAGAGGTAAAGGAAGATAAAGATATTTAAAGGAAAAAATGAGGAAGACTATATTATTGTTTTGAAATAATTATCCTTGGCTAAAAAGATCAATAACAAAGATAACTCCAGTTTGACATTGGTCTGGCAGTTCTCGGGCAGATGTTTTTGCAGAGATATTTTTTGTGTAAGGTTGCAAATAGCCTTTGTGGAAGGTTGTGGTTTTTGCAGTCTTTTGTGATAGTTTTTTGTCGTCAGGCCTGTAAGCATATAAACCCTCTCTTCAAGGCTTTTGGTGGCTCTATTTATCAAGATTTTCTTTAAAAAAAAATGGGCTCCATCTTGATTCTGACAACTTTCAGATATAATTTAGTTCTATCAAGAAAATTGTTACTTCATAATATAAAGCTTGATATTCATGCTACTCTAAATTTTTTATGTAAAAATGATTTTTGTGTTAACATTAGTATTTAATTTTCTTAATAAAGTTACCTTAGTAATAATGGCATAGAAATATTGGAAACCCATTACTAATACAATGTACATGCTTAACTCTGTGTGAATGTGCGTGTGTGTGTGTGTGTGTGTGTGTGTGTGTGTATAAAATAAGAATGCTAATTTTAGTCCCTATACTACTCTATAAAATTAAATTTTCTATTAAAGATATAATTGCAATTGAAAGTGTTTTTAATTAGAACATTTAATGCTGCATTTCCAATGTTTTACACTGGGGCCTCAACATTAACCCTGCAGTTAGCATACTTAATTAGTTGTTTTATATAAAGCTTATTAAAAATGTAAGCTTTAAATCTAATCTCTGCTCCATTTTACTCTCAGCATCTCATACCATACTCAGAATAGTTAATTAAATGGCAATAAAATCTTTTGCTTTGTGTCTATAACCATTAACCTTTCAACAATGATTTCTAAACAGAACCATGCATCTGAGTGGTCAATTATTTTATAAGAAGGCACTCTGATGGTTTCTGTTCAATAATCTTCTTGTAACAAACACTCTTTAATAAATGTCTATAATGATAGTTGGAATGCATATATTATGCCAATAAATTTACACTTTCCTATCACCTTTTTCTTTCTAAAAACAAATGTTATTGCATCTTATTGGCTATTGATGCTTTTTTGCATATTGGTAAAAATGACTTTTACGTGGATATTACATTAAAAACATAATAAAAGGTAATATATTATTGTAATTTTTATATATAAAGGACAAACATTTTCCTGAATACAGAGAAAATTTGGGGAAATTTATCTTATGATTGTCTTTCACATACCTGAAAAATGTGAAAGAGATTTCCTCCAAGGCAAAGTTTGAAATGTATCTTTATTATTCCTTACTTTCAGTAAAGTTGTGCAACAACTGGTATTTTGAGAAAAGAAACAAAATGATGATCATAGATGTCTTAAATATAAGTCTACATATGAATATATATATAGACATATAGAAATAAAATTATGAATAAAATATTTTCTATTTTAAAAGGCTTTCTGAAAATAGGCCTTTAACAATTATTAGCAACAATTTTATTTTGGTAGTAGCACATTTTTGGAGGGGTAGTTATACTTTTTTCTGGTTCTTGCATTTCTGGCTGGCATTGGGGACATGCGAGTGAGAACTGTCATGTCAATAACTGTAATACAATCTACACCAATCTGACTTTTTTTTTTAGAAAAAGTGAATAGAATGATAATCAAATTTAAAGAATTTTAAAATGGGCACTTATAAAATATAAAAGAGAAAATTATTGAGAACACTCTTGATACTTCCAATTTTCAAGGTCTGGTTATATTCAATTTTGTTACAATTATACTAACTATTCAGTGACTCTGAAAATAATCTTTTTACATTCCTGTTTATTTATATCTATTTCTACATCTATGTATAAGTAAGCATGAATCTATTTTTATGTCTTATCAACAATTTTTTACTAGATAAAAATATTTGAGAAATATACTTTAAGTCCTGAAAGTAGATAGTTTAGTGGTATTTTAATTGTAGGTTACATATATTTTTGGATATTTTCATACTGCATGTCAGTATGTGTGAATGATTTTACAATCACACATTCCTTTTAATATTAAAAACTCGTGAATTTTCATGAAACTTTCTGGTGGTATGGAAAATATAAAAACAATCTGTAGCATTTAAAATATTTCTGTGGTATCTTTTTACATTGGGAACTTGGAAGAATATTTTAATTATAATAATATTAACTCTATGTTTTAAAATATTAAGATGGGGATTTATAACAAAAGGAACATAGACATTTATACCAATCTCTGATATGTAAATTTCTATATCTGGGGCTCTATTATATTTGATGCAAACCAGTAGATTCAGACTAGTAAAAGTAAAATTATTGGTAAATCTACCAGTATTTTTAAAATCTAAATTAATACATTTTATGATTATGAACAGAATTCAATTAAGATATCAGGAGAAAATAGGTTCACTATCATAATATCAAGCCATTTGGCAAAATTTAAATGATGTGAAATTTTGGAATTCCAGTTAGAACCATGGACAAGTCTATGACACTAAACACTCAGTGCTACAATTCTGTGAATGATCCAGAATTATTAATGTTTAAAACTTGAAAAAAACATGGTTTTTTATGTTAAAATATCTGCTAACTGGTCAGCTGGAAATCATTCAACTTTTATATACATTACATTTTGTATCTTTGTATTATAAAATTTAAATAATATGTAAAATCCGGCCAGGCATGGTGGCTTATGTCTGTAATCGCAGCATTTTGGGAGGCCGAGGCTGGTGGATCACTAGGGCCAGGAGTTTGAGACAGGCCTGGGCAGCATGGCAAAACCCTTCTCTACTAAAAGTACAACAACAGCAACAAAATTAGCTCGTGTGGTTGTGCATGCCCAGCTACGCAGGAGGCTGAGGCACAATAATCACTTGAACTGGGAGGTAGTTGCAATGAGCTGAGATAGCACCACTGCACTCCAGCCTGGGTGACAGAGCAAGACGCTGTCACACACATACACACAAATTAGATCTAACATTGGATAAACATTATATATACATATATACATATAATAGCGAAATAAAATAAACTATATATAATACTATACAAATTATATCTATAAACTGTGTGCTGTGGCTAACTGTAAGCATTTTATATAAAGTGGGAGGAGTTGCCTAATATATCCTTAAACACAATTATTGTAATCATATTTAAGACTTATTCCAATAAATATTTTCTAAGGCTTTGTTTTGTGTATTAAAAATTGTTATTCTTTATGAAGGAAAAAGTAAGATTGTAATATGTTGTTATCAACCTCAAAGATGCTTAAGATATAATTGGACAGAACTATAAAATAATATTTAAATAACAATGTATCCCATTTCAAAATCATTTTTATTCTTTTTTTATTCCTCTTCTATAACACAAGACAAAAGTATCTTTTTGAAATAATTCAATTTAAAATGCTAGGCTTAAAATTTGAATTAACTCCGACATGAGTTTATAAATTCAACATGGTTTCATTAGTAATAACAGAGAGAATATTTGTTTTGTTTCCTTGTTTTTAATTTTCTTTGGTTTTTGTAATGTTTGGAGCTAAACCTGTTAATTTTAGATTTATGTGAACCAATAAGGACTAATCAGGAAGACTCTGAAAGGGAAGAAATGAAGACAAACTGTACCAAAAAATCAAGGAAAAATCCCATTTTAAATAGCAACAAAAATTAGGAATAAATTTAAGTAATATAGTGAAAGATTTGTATTCTGAAAACTATACATATTGATATATGACATGAAACTATAGTATCGATGAAAGAAATTGAAAAAGACACAAATGAGTGGATAGATACCCCATGTTCATGGATTGGAAAAATTATTATTTTTTAAATGTTCATACTTCCAAAACAATATGTAGATTCAATGCAATCCTATCAAAATTCTAAGCTTCTTTCACAGAAATAAAAATAAAAATTCGAAGATGGCCGAATAGGAACAGCTCCGGTCTACAGCTCCCAGCGTGAGCGACGCAGAAGACGGGTGATTTCTGCATTTCCATCTGAGGTACCGGGTTCATCTCACTAGGGAGTGCCAGACAGTGGGCGCAGGCCAGTGTGTGCGCGCACCGTGCGCGAGCCGAAGCAGGGCGAGGCATTGCCTCACCTGGGAAGCGCAAGGGGTCAGGGAGTTCCCTTTCCGAGTCAAAGAAAGGGGTGACGAACGCACCTGGAAAATCGGGTCACTCCCACCCAAATATTGCGCTTTTCAGACCGGCTTAAAAAACGGCGCACCACGAGACTATATCCCACACCTGGCTGAGAGGGTCCTACGCCCACGGAATCTCGCTGATTGCTAGCACAGCAGTCTGAGATTAAACTGCAAGGCGGCAACGAGGCTGGGGGAGGGGCGCCCGCCATTGCCCAGGCTTGCTTAGGTAAACAAAGCAGCCGGGAAGCTCGAACTGGGTGGAGCCCACCACAGCTCAAGGAGGCCTGCCTGCCTCTGTAGGCTCCACCTCTAGGGGCAGGGCACAGACAAACAAAAAGACAGCAGTAACCTCTGCAGACTTAAGTGTCCCTGTCTGACAGCTTTGAAGAGAGCAGTGGTTCTCCCAGCACGCAGCTGGAGATCTGAGAACCGGCAGACTGCCTCCTCAAGTGGGTCCCTGACCCCTGACCCCCGAGCAGCCTAACTGGGAGGCACCCCCCAGCAGGGGCACACTGACACCTCACACGGCAGGGTATTCCAACAGACCTGCAGCTGAGGGTCCTGTCTGTTAGAAGGAAAACTAACAACCAGAAAGGACATCAACACCGAAAACCCATCTGTACATCACCATCATCAAAGACCAAAAGTAGATAAAACCACAAAGATGGGGAAAAAACAGAACAGAAAAACTGGAAACTCTAAAACGCAGAGCGCCTCTCCTCCTCCAAAGGAACGCAGTTCCTCACCAGCAACGGAACAAAGCTGGATGGAGAATGATTTTGACGAGCTGAGAGAAGAAGGCTTCAGACGATCAAATTACTCTGAGCTACGGGAGGACATTCAAACCAAAGGCAAAGAAGTTGAAAACTTTGAAAAAAATTTAGAAGAATGTATAACTAGAATAACCAATACAGAGAAGTGCTTAAAGGAGCTGATGGAGCTGAAAACCAAGGCTCGAGAACTACGTGAAGAATGCAGAAGCCTCAGGAGCCGATGCGATCAACTGGAAGAAAGGGTATCAGCGATGGAAGATGAAATGAATGAAATGAAGCGAGAAGGGAAGTTTAGAGAAAAAAGAATAAAAAGAAATGAGCAAAGCCTCCAAGAAATATGGGACTATGTGAAAAGACCAAATCTACGTCTGATTGGTGTACCTGAAAGTGATGTGGAGAATGGAACCAAGTTGGAAAACACTCTGCAGGATATTATCCAGGAGAACTTCCCCAATCTAGCAAGGCAGGCCAACGTTCAGATTCAGGAAATACAGAGAACGCCACAAAGATACTCCTCGAGAAGAGCAACTCCAAGACACATAATTGTCAGATTCACCAAAGTTGAAATGAAGGAAAAAATGTTAAGGGCAGCCAGAGAGAAAGGTCGGGTTACCCTCAAAGGAAAGCCCATCAGACTAACAGCGGATCTCTCGGCAGAAACCCTACAAGCCAGAAGAGAGTGGGGGCCAATATTCAACATTCTTAAAGAAAAGAATTTTCAACCCAGAATTTCATATCCAGCCAAACTAAGCTTCATAAGTGAAGGAGAAATAAAATACTTTATAGACAAGCAAATGCTGAGAGATTTTGTCACCACCAGGCCTGCCCTAAAAGAGCTCCTGAAGGAAGCGCTAAACATGGAAAGGAACAACCGGTACCAGCCGCTGCAAAATCATGCCAAAATGTAAAGACCATCGAGACTAGGAAGAAACTGCATCAACTAACGAGCAAAATCACCAGCTAACATCATAATGACAGGATCAAATTCACACATAACAATATTAACTTTAAATATAAATGGACTAAATTCTGCAATTAAAAGACACAGACTGGCAAGTTGGATAAAGAGTCAAGACCCATCAGTGTGCTGTATTCAGGAAACCCATCTCACGTGCAGAGACACACATAGGCTCAAAATAAAAGGATGGAGGAAGATCTACCAAGCCAATGGAAAACAAAAAAAGGCAGGGGTTGCAATCCTAGTCTCTGATAAAACAGACTTTAAACCAACAAAGATCAAAAGAGACAAAGAAGGCCATTACATAATGGTAAAGGGATCAATTCAACAAGAGGAGCTAACTATCCTAAATATTTATGCACCGAATACAGGAGCACCCAGATTCATAAAGCAAGTCCTGAGTGACCTACAAAGAGACTTAGACTCCCACACATTAATAATGGGAGACTTTAACACCCCACTGTCAACATTAGACAGATCAACGAGACAGAAAGTCAACAAGGATACCCAGGAATTGAACTCAGCTCTGCACCAAGCGGACCTAATAGACATCTACAGAACTCTCCACCCCAAATCAACAGAATATACATTTTTTTCAACACCACACCACACCTATTCCAAAATTGACCACATAGTTGGAAGTAAAGCTCTCCTCAGCAAATGTAAAAGAACAGAAATTATAACAAACTATCTCTCAGACCACAGTGCAATCAAACTAGAACTCAGGATTAAGAATCTCACTCAAAGCCGCTCAACTACATGGAAACTGAACAACCTGCTCCTGAATGACTACTGGGTACATAACGAAATGAAGGCAGAAATAAAGATGTTCTTTGAAACCAACGAGAACAAAGACACAACATACCAGAATCTCTGGGACGCATTCAAAGCAGTGTGTAGAGGGAAATTTATAGCACTAAATGCCTACAAGAGAAAGCAGGAAAGATCCAAAATTGACACCCTAACATCACAATTAAAAGAACTAGAAAAGCAAGAGCAAACACATTCAAAAGCTAGCAGAAGGCAAGAAATAACTAAAATCAGAGCAGAACTGAAGGAAATAGAGACACAAAAAACCCTTCAAAAAATCAATGAATCCAGGAGCTGGTTTTTTGAAAGGATCAACAAAATTGATAGACCGCTAGCAAGACTAATAAAGAAAAAAAGAGAGAAGAATCAAATAGACACAATAAAAAATGATAAAGGGGATATCACCACCGATCCCACAGAAATACAAACTACCATCAGAGAATACTACAAACACCTCTACACAAATAAACTAGAAAATCTAGAAGAAATGGATACATTCCTCGACACATACAATCTCCCAAGACTAAACCAGGAAGAAGTTGAATCTCTGAATAGACCAATAACAGGATCTGAAATTGTGGCAATAATCAATAGTTTACCAACCAAAAAGAGTCCAGGACCAGATGGATTCACAGCCGAATTCTACCAGAGGTACAAGGAGGAACTGGTACCATTCCTTCTGAAACTATTCCAATCAATAGAAAAAGAGGGAATCCTCCCTAACTCATTTTATGAGGCCAGCATCATTCTGATACCAAAGCCGGGCAGAGACACAACCAAAAAAGAGAATTTTAGACCAATATCCTTGATGAACATTGATGCAAAAATCCTCAATAAAATACTGGCAAACCGAATCCAGCAGCACATCAAAAAGCTTATCCACCATGATCAAGTGGGCTTCATCCCTGGGATGCAAGGCTGGTTCAATATACGCAAATCAATAAATGTAATCCAGCATATAAACAGAGCCAAAGACAAAAACCACATGATTATCTCAATAGATGCAGAAAAAGCCTTTGACAAAATTCAACAACTCTTCATGCTAAAAACTCTCAATAAATTAGGTATTGATAGGACGTATTTCAAAATAATAAGAGCTATCTATGACAAACGCACAGCCAATATCATACTGAATGGGCAAAAACTGGAAGCATTCCCTTTGAAAACTGGCACAAGACAGGGATGCCCTCTCTCACCGCTCCTATTCAACATAGTATTGGAAGTTCTGGCCAGGGCAATCAGGCAGGAGAAGGAAATAAAGGGTATTCAATTAGGAAAAGAGGAAGTCAAATTGTCCCTGTTTGCAGACGACATGATTGTTTATCTAGAAAACCCCATCGTCTCAGCCCAAAATCTCCTTAAGCTGATAAGCAACTTCAGCAAAGTCTCAGGATACAAAATCAATGTACAAAAATCACAAGCATTCTTATACACCAACAACAGACAAACAGAGAGCCAAATCATGAGTGAACTCCCATTCACAATTGCTTCAAAGAGAATAAAATACCTAGGAATCCAACTTACAAGGGATGTGAAGGACCTCTTCAAGGAGAACTACAAACCACTGCTCAAGGAAATACAAGAGGGCACAAACAAATGGAAGAACATTCCATGCTCATGGGTAGGAAGAATCAATATCGTGAAAATGGCCATACTGCCCAAGGTAATTTACAGATTCAATGCCATCCCCATCAAGCTACCAATGACTTTCTTCACAGAATTGGAAAAAACTACTTTAAAGTTCATATGGAACCAAAAAAGAGCCCGCATCGCCAAGTCAATCCTAAGCCAAAAGAACAAAGCTGGAGGCATCACACTACCTGACTTCAAACTATACTACAAGTCTACAGTAACCAAAACAGCATGGTACTGGTACCAAAACAGAGATATAGATCAATGGAACAGAACAGAGCCCTCAGAAATAATGCCGCATATCTATAACTATCTGATCTTTGACAAACCTGAGAAAAACAAGCAATGGGGAAAGGATTCCCTATTTAATAAATGGTGCTGGGAAAACTGGCTAGCCATATGTAGAAAGCTGAAACTGGATCCCTTCCTTACACCTTATACAAAAATCAATTCAAGATGGATTAAAGATTTAAATGTTAGACCTAAAACCATAAAAACCCTAGAAGAAAACCTAGGCATTACCATTCAGGACATAGGCGTGGGCAAGGACTTCATGTCCAAAACACCAAAAGCAATGGCAACAAAAGCCAAAATTGACAAATGGGATCTAATTAAACTAAAGAGCTTCTGCACAGCAAAAGAAACTACCATCAGAGTGAACAGGCAACCTACAACATGGGAGAAAATTTTCGCAACCTACTCATCTGACAAAGGGCTAATATCCAGAATCTACAATGAACTCAAACAAATTTACAAGAAAAAAACAAACAACTCCATCAAAAAGTGGGCGAAGGACATGAACAGACACTTCTCAAAAGAAGACATTTATGCAGCCAAAAAACACATGAAAAAATGCTCACCATCACTGGCCATCAGAGAAATGCAAATCAAAACCACTATGAGATATCATCTCACACCAGTTAGAATGGCAATCATTAAAAAGTCAGGAAACAACAGGTGCTGGAGAGGATGTGGAGAAATAGGAACACTTTTACACTGTTGGTGGGAGTGTAAACTAGTTCAACCATTGTGGAAGTCAGTGTGGCGATTCCTCAGGGATCTAGAACTAGAAATACCATTTGACCCAGCCATCCCATTACTGGGTATATACCCAAATGACTATAAATCATGCTGCTATAAAGACACATGCACACGTATGTTTATTGCGGCATTATTCACAATAGCAAAGACTTGGAACCAACCCAAATGTCCAACAATGATAGACTGGATTAAGAAAATGTGGCACATATACACCATGGAATACTATGCAGCCATAAAAAATGATGAGTTCATGTCCTTTGTAGGGACATGGATGAAATTGGAAACCATCATTCTCAGTAAACTATCGCAAGAACAAAAAACCAAACACCGCATATTCTCACTCATAGGTGGGAATTGAACAATGAGATCACGTGGACACAGGAAGGGGAATATCACACTCTGGGGACTGTGGTGGGGTCGGGGGATGGGGGAGGGATAGCATTGGGAGATATACCTAATGCTAGATGACACGTTAGTGGGTGCAGCGCACCAGCATGGCACATGTATACATATGTAACTAACCTGCACAATGTGCACATGTACCCTAAAACTTAAAGTATAATAATAATAAAAAAAAAAATAAAATAAAAAAAAAATAAAAATAAAAAAAAAATAAAAATAAAAATAAAAATTCTAAAATATTTATTGAACAAAAAGACTCTAACTAACCAAAGCAATTCTGAGCAAGAACATGGTAGAAGGCATCATATTTCCTAAATTGTATTACAAAGCTAATCAAAAATACATAGTAATCAAAACAGTTTAGTACTGCCATACACTCACATAGAGCAACAGAAGAGAATAGACAGCCCAGACATAAACCATGCTTATCAATTAATCAACTAGTCTTTGCCAAGAGCACAAAGAATATATAATAGGGAAATAATAGTCTCTTCAATAAATGGCATTAGAAGAACTGAGTATTGACATGCAAAAAAATAAAACTAGACCTTCATCATATATCATACTCAAAAATAAAATCAAAATGAATTATAGACTTAAATGTAAGCCTTAAAAGTCCTAGAAGGAAATATAGGAAAAAGTTTTGACATTGGTTTTGGCAATTGCCTTTTGGCTATGACTGCAAAAGTACAGGCAAAAAATGCAAAAATCAATTAACTGGGAGTATACCAAACTAAAAGGCTTCTGCACAGAAAAAGTAAAAAACATGATGAAATGGCAACCTACAGATTGACAGAAAATATTTGCAAGCCAGATATCTCATAAGAGGTTAATATTAAAAATATATAAGTAACACGTACACTCTCAGAGGCAAAAACAAAACAAATAACCTGGGTTTAAAATAGACATGAATAGACATTTTCTCAAAGAAGAAATACAAATGGCCAAGAGGTATATGAAAAATGGTCAACATTACTAATTGTCAGTAGTTTTCATTAAATAAAAACTACAATGAGGTATCACTTTACACCTGTTAGGATGGCCATTATAAAAATGCAAAAGATAATGAGTTTTGGTAAGAATGTGGAGAAAAGGAAACTCTAGTATACCGATTTGGGGAATGCCAATTAATATAGCCGTTATGGAAGACAGTGTGGAGTTCCCTCACTGTTAAAAATAGAACTAGCCTACTATCCGGGAATCTCACTTCTGGCTTTATATGCAGAGAATTTGAAATCAGTGTGCCAAGGAGATAGATGCACTCCCATGTTCATGGCTACATATTTACAATAGCCAATGTATGGCAACAATCTAAGTACCTGGTAAATTGATGCATAAAGAAATAATGAAATATTACTCAGCCTTTATAAAGAAGGTAACTCTGCCATCTGAAACATGAGTGAAACTGGAGGACATGATGCCAAGTGAAATAAGCCAGACAGAGAAAGAAAAATACTGTCTAATCTCACTTATATCTGGAATCTAAAAAAGCCAAATTTATAGAAGCATAAAGTAGAATGGTAGTTAACAATGGTGTGGGGATGGAGAGATGTTAGTCAAAGTGTAAAAAGTTTCAGTTAGGTAGAATGAGTAAGTTCTAGAGATTTAATGTACAGCATAATGACTATAGTTAATAATGTTATATTATGTACTTGAAATTTACTAAAAGAGTAGATCTTAAGTGTTTTCCCCACAAGCACAAGAGTCAATATGTAAGATGATGGATATGTTAATTAGCTTGGCTATAGTAATAATATCACTATATATAATAAAACATGTCACCAATTCTGTACACCTTAAATATATACACATTTTAATAAAAAATAGTAGAAATTAATATTATAAAGCCAAATGAATGAAAGAGAATGCCAAAAATTGAGGGAAAACTGAATAATAATCTTGAAAAAAATAAAATTAGATTTATAAGTCAAAAAGGCACTTTTTAAATGAAGAAAAAAATAAAAATAAAAATAAAAACGAAGGGAGAATGTCTTCAGAGTATTGAAATAGAAAGACTTTTCTAATATTATTAAAATTCTGAAGATATATATGAAAATATTGATAATCATGACTTCATAAAAGTCAAAAACTTCTACATATTACTTCACACCATGCACCTATTCAGATGAGCAAACATGAAACTTGAAATAAAAAGGTGTTTGTATCTCATACTTTATTAAAGGGATAATATCCTAATTACATGAAGAGTTTCTAGAAGTCAATGAGAAAAGGTTCAAAACTCTTATTACAAATGAGCAAAACTATCTAATATTCAGTCACAGAATAAGTATAGCTGTTTTTTAAACAGATGAAGAAATGCTCAACTTCACTTCTAATAAGATAAAATTACATTTGAAATTACACCAAGCCACTCTCTTCCCAAATACATAATATATTGACTCAAAGCCCATAGTGAGATTACATAATACATTGGTGAGGCTGTGAGGAAACAGGCAGTTTTATATACTTCCATTTGCATATTAAATTTCTACAATCTCTATGTAGAAAACACGACAATATCTTTTACAATTATAAATGTGTATAACCTTTTAATCCATGTGTCTACTTGTGCTTGCTCTCCTGGGAAATGACTTGTGTAGGTTTCCATTAAAGTAGTCTTTAAATATTAAATTATTTGTAATATGCTACTAAGAAGGCACTGGTTAAATAATTATGGATTCTCATAAAGTGGAAAATATGTTTCTGTACAAAATAATGAGAAATGTATATATTAGTATTAGCACACTAACTACTATTAAATGAAGAAAGTGAGGTACAGAAGTGTGTGGTTGTATGCTACTTTATATGTAATAAGGGGGACTAGATTTTACATCCTTTGTCACATGTAAATATAGACAAAAATCAAAAAAATAAAGACAGGAAAATAATTTTCTTTTTATATGTTTAGGTAGATGTGGATGTTAAGTAGAAGTGGGGATCAGGATAGATTTTTTTCACTAAGTATAATGATAATTTAATATAAATATATGTAATATGTAATATGTACATGTACATGTTATATGTGCATATATAGAGAGATATGACACACACACATATACACACCACAAAACCCCACATATATATGATGTTTAAATGCAGAAATCCCTGAAAGATAAGATTTGAAATTTTGCCTCATCATATGAAAATGATTCATTCACTCTTTTTTGGAATAATTATCTCTAACGCAAAGGTAATATCTATGTAGCCAATCTAGCATTCTCTGTCATAGTAACTGATAATTTAGCTTTGTTGTCTCCATGTTCTTGATATGATGCCAATGTTTTGACAGTAGGTTTGATAATGAAAAGATTGCCGTGGGCTTGAGCCCTGGATGTGTGTATATGGCAGGATATTATGGACTCATTCCAGGCCCAGTGGGGAGAATTCCATCTGCACAACAGGAAGCACAGACTGAGATATCTGTATTTGCACATGCTGAACCGCCCCAGATTTTTCCCAATATTTCAGTATGTTTTGTATATTTCATCAGCCATTAAGGAACCTATTTGAACTAGGCTTTTAAAGCTTGTTGAAACAAAGGGCACAGAGCCCTTGATAAGAATTTATTTCTACAATAAACTATAATCTTTTTCAGTCATAAGAAACCAGCACTCTCTATTTTTGCTTCAATATGGAAAATTGTGTATATTCATTATATGAGAAATTTGTGAAAGATGCCCCAAATTATGGTGTTATAGAATGCAGCCACAATGATGTATTTGACACTGAGAGAATAGCAATGCCAAGTTCTTATAGAAATGCCCCTTGAGCAATATACAATACTTGATAGCATGCTCAACACATTATATAATTTTTTTCCTTTATGACATATTTTGCATAAATAAAATTTTCTATTATAGTAGGTGCTCTTCAGTGATTGCTGTCATAACAATAATACCTCATATAATGGACTATTTTATAATCCATGAAACTATTTTATTCATATTATCTCATTTGTTCCTTGCTGAGGTTAACAGCATTTTCAAGAAGACAAAATTAACTTAAGGAATGTCTGTGGCTTGTCCAAAGCCAAATATCAAATAAATGTAGATATAGACACTTGAACCTAGATTTTCAGATATCTTATTCTGCACCCTTTTATATTTTCACCATAAGCACAGTCTAAGGAAAAAATTGACTGAGAAATTGTTTACAAGATATGTATTAGAGACTATTACTCCTAATAGGCAACTAATTCAAATAGAATAGGCAAGTAGCCCCTATGTGGGAGGTTGGGCATCCTTCTTTGGGAAAGTGCTTGCCTAATAGACGGATTTCAATTTGCCATAGTCCAGTGAAATAGGTTGGTGCCTGGACCATCACACCAAGATGAGGCCGATCTATCTGTACTTCCCATACAGTTCTCAGAGCTTTACATAGCTTATTAGTGCCTCAATACTAAAGAAAAAATGGTGGTCAATTCAACAGACATTCCAATAAATTGTTCTACATAAATGATAGATAACAAAAGAGACAATTTAAGAAAATTCAGGATTAGTGCAGAATTGTAACAGAACTATTAGATTCAATGTCTGCAAAATCTAAGAGAAGATATTGCATTTATAAAAAATGCTGTAAAACAAAAACTTTTTTAAAAAATGCACAATTTTGTAAATTAAAAAGCTGACTAAAAATGATGAAAGGCTAGAAGATAAAAAACGAAAGTAATAGTTTAGAATATAGAACTAAAATGTAGACAAATTGAAAACAAGAGAAAAAATAGACCCTACTACAATAAATCAAATATCCAATTAATAGGAGCTTCTGAGAATGCTACAGAAAAATGCTGTTGGGAGATTATCAAAGAAAAATATATAATAGTTCCTCCCTTAACCACGAGAAATACATTCTAAGATTCCCTATAGTTGCCTAAATCCATGAACATTACAGAACACAATTGCTGTCAAACAGAACTCATTTCTATTTATGTCTTTCACCTAAAAATTTAATGTCTTTTTCATCATAACTAAACACTTGACCATGCACTGTGGCCATAACTTTTGCAGTTTGAGGTGTGACAGTAACGCTAGGATGAATTCTTTTTTCCTTCTTCATAATTTCACAAATTTGTTCTTTTCACTTAACAACCTATGATTATTTGAATATAAGCCAGGTACTAATTATCTAAGAGATATTCACTAAGTGATTATTTTTCATCGCTTAACAATCTATGATCTTTTTTCCTTTAGTCAAGAACTTTTATCTTTTCACTTAAAGAAAGCACTTTAAGCCTTCTCTTTGGCATATGTGAATGGTCAGCATCATTACTCTCATGTTTTGGGGTCACGATTAAGTAAAATAAAGGTTTCTTGAACATAAACATTGAGATACTGTGATGGTTGATCTGATAATCTAGAGAGCTAAGCAAGTGACTAACAGTTTGGTATGTATACAGTGTGGCTACACTGGCCCAGGGATGACTGACATCCTGAATTGGAAATTTGAAACTTACAAATCATTTATTTTTGGAATTTTTCAGTTAGTATTTTCAGACTTCAGTTGACCTCAGGAAACTGAAACCATCAAAAGGGGACTACTGCATAAGAAAATGTATTAAAACTGAAAAGCATGAATTTCCAGATTGCAAAACTCATTTGTTTCTAACTCAGTAAATGAAAATAAACAAAACAAATAAAAACATCAACCTCAAAGTTTACCCTTATTAAATTTCAACAACTAGGAGATTGACAGAATATCCTAAAAAACAGCAAAAGTGAGAAAGAGAAATCTTTCCAACATAAATCTTACCCTGTTAATTTTTATCATTTGTTGGGTAAATAAATTAACAGTTACATAAAGTCTCAGATTTTTATATTTATTTTTTGCATTGTCTGTTATTTAACACTATCCCTTTCGCTTCACATTCTCCTATACATCTTGTGGGATAAAACTGTGAATGAGATTTTCTAGACCCTCTTGCCAGTAAAATTTCAGTTAGATGCTGCCATTGATGTACTATTATGGGAGCAGTGGGCAGATGCGAGGACAGAGAGAACCAAGTTTGCAGTGGATTCTGTGCTAATTGCTCCAAATCACTCATTTTGGTTATTTAAGCAACAAACTCCTTACACTTCAGTTCTCCTGGAAGCCACAAACTGATTTTACCTTGAACTTTGCTCTTCCAGCTTTAGCATGCTTGGAATCTAGATTGCTTTCAGTTTTCCTGATGACGCCCTATGTAACACATATCCCATGCAAACATTCCTAGGAAGATTAAATGAAGAAGAGAGGAAGAGGAGGAGGAAGGAAGGAAAGAAGGAAGGAAGGAAAGAAGGAAGGAAGGAAAGAATGAAGGAAGGAAAGAAGGAAGGAAGGAAGAAAGGGAGGGAGGGAGGGAGGGAGGGAAAAAATAAGGTAATTTTATTATTTTATTTATTTATTTATTGGAGACCGAGTCTCGCTCTGTCACCCAGGCTGGAGTGCAGTGGCAGGATCTCGGCTCACTGCAACCTCCGCCTCCAGGGTTCAAGCAATTCTCCTGCCTCGACATCCTGAGTAGCTGGGATTACAGGCACACACTGCATGCCCGGCTAATTTTTTGTATTTTTAGTAGAGACGGAATTTCACCGTGTTGCCCAGGCTAGTCTCGAACTCTTGAGCTCAAGTAATCTCCCCGCCTTGGCCTTCCAAAGTGCTAGGATTACAGGCGGGAGCCACCACACCCGGCAAAAATAAGGTAATTTTAAATATCAAAAGTAGAGAGGTTGCTCAATAAAGGAAATACAATCATAAAAAGTATTTAAAATTTTCTGTGAATAATATTATGTAATCATAAGGATGAACCATAGATATTGTTTTAACCTAAAATTGTATGTGTGCATGTGTGTGTGTGTATATATATATATATATATACACACACACACACATACGTGTGTGTGTGTGTGTGTGTGTGTGTAAGAAAGGGGAAGGGAATGTAAATTAGATCATTTGTCATCTTGCAAAATCGGAAGACAATAAACAGTGTTCAGTATTGGAAAACCAAGAAATAGTAGTAAAAACATTTTAATGCAGAAGTAAATATTTGAAGAAATATCTAAAATAAATTAAATACTTCCTTGTCATTTTCCATCACCTAATCACCATTCACATATAATTTATTAATTAGTTGAAGCTTTTTTGTTTCATTTTTGGTAGAGTTCCCTCCCTTGAATGCTTTGTTTCTGAAAGCAGAAAAGCTAGCTGTTTTATTCTTTGCCGTGTTTCATATCCATGTACTAAGAATAGCACCTGGCATTCCATAAGTACTTGGTGAATAAATGAATGCTGGAAGAGCTAAAAGTCAGGTTGCCTATGGGAAATGTGAGTCAAAGTGTGGCTTAGGCAGAATACTGCTTCTTTGAATTATAAGGCAAGTAATATATTTGAAATTTAAAATTATATAGTATATGTTTATAATAAAATTATAAATACATTTTGAAAAGATTCTTTACCTTTGAAATGTCCAGCTAACTGAAAAAAACAGGTTATGAGGCAATGTGTAATTTATGAGAAAATAAACATATTAGCCTCAAAATCTCTGCATGTATACATAAAGGACATAGGAAAAGTGTAGCAGAGTGCACACTCAGCAGTTAATATTGATCGCTCCCAAGAGATGGAGCTGGACTGTGGTAAAGATAACTTAACAATTTTTGTGTTTGTATACATATATCTACTGCTTAATTTTTTCCAAATGTCATGAGTCACTCTTTTAATTATATAAATGCATAATTCAATTGTGTTTCTAAAAATATTTTTCTTCATGATCCCTGGAATGATGACATAACTTTTGTTACTTCATGTCTTTTTAAAAGTCTTTAATTAATTCCAGACTTCTCCCTGATTTCAGAATTAAATAGAGCATACGATCAAATAATTAGCACATAGAGGTGTTTCTGATGACCGTTCTCTAAGAGAGTGATAAGCTTTGAATAAAAATAACGTCCGGGGATACATATTTGGGGAGCTGGTGATGGCAGTAGCAGGAAGCAGATGCAAGTTATTCAATATACTTGAATTAACCTATCTAATGCAACTGCTTGAGAGACTTTTGTGATTGTATGAGTTTCAAAACAACAACAAAACACTTCAGGAATGTTCATTTCATCACACCTGCAACGTTTCATGGAGACAGAAACAAAGACAGCACAGAAGCCGGTGTCTTGTTTATGTGTGTTGAAAAATGTTGCCGTGATGTGCTTCACTGCCATGTAGAACAGCTTGTAAGATTTGGAGTGTTTGAAATGTTACATTAAAATAGGAAATGTTAGTTGTTCTGATAAGGTTTAATCAAATTATTTCCTTGAAGGTGCATTTTTCTATTATTAAGGATGAACATGTTGACATAAGGTGTGATTGGAGCAGTGTTTCTGCTTATGCTGGCAGTGCATTATGTACCCATCATGTTTTCAAATTTCATTTACAGATAAGCACTGTGAGTAATTGTAACGTGAAGTGGTAATCTACTGATGATATATGAGAATAGAGAAACAAATTAAAAACATCATTCAATTGAAATTTTAAAGTGTATAGTGGTAGAGGGCTGTATTTCCAAATGCACAAAGAATTCCCACTTGAAAACTTATTGCACTCAAGTCATTGTGTGAAATTTTATCTTTAATAAATGTTAAGTATTTCTACTGGTAATAGATTAACATATCATTAAAGATAACATATTTTAAATTTTTATACAAAAGCTTTATTAGCCTTTATAAAAGATGGTTTATGTTTCCAATTTACATGATATCTTAGAATATTATATTTTATATAATATTTGGCTAAAAATCAAATATGATAGTTATAGTATATTTTAGTGCTCTTGTTACTCACATAGTATAAGGCAAAAAACTCATAAAAAATTTAATTGGATGTACAAATTCAATTGATTTTGCATGCAAAGGAATTTTAAAATATTCACATTAGGTAAGTAGAGAGATTTTTAAAAAGAATGTAATAACTACAGGTTATATAGTTCAGTGATACCTAAACCTGGTTCATCATTGTACAGTTTTAGAAAATTCCCCAGGCTCATACTAGCCTATATATTCTGGTTCTTTACATTTGGGCTGAGACACCTGATTTTTTAAAAATAGCTTCTAGGGTGACTTTAATGATGATTTTGTTTTTCATTTTGGGTAGAGGTTAGCTTTCCTTATGTATAGATGAGAAACCAAAGACCTAGAGAATTAAGACAAATGTTTGATGGGAGATGAGAGCCCTGTCTGATAGTTTGCCGTGTGCATAGCATCTTGGTCACTGTGTTTTCCGGTGGTGAAGAGTAGTCACACAGTTTGAGGAAGTATAATTTGAAAACAATAAAAATGAACATATACATCACAGAATATTGACCTGGAGAGAAAACTCAATATATTTATTTTAGGAACAATGGGAAACTTTCACCCTTAATATAAAGGAAGTTCTCAAGCATATGAGCTCTTCCTTTACCTAATGAATTGCCAATATTACCTTGATATAAAAGGGAAGATGAAAAATCAATAAAAAAGGAAGTAAATTTTAATTTCTCTGAGTTTCTTTAGGATTTTTATTTGCTATTTCATACAGCTTCTAATGATATCACTAACTTTGTACTTCCCCAATTCCTTGTTGCTTAGTGCAATTTCTACTGAGAGGGAGTCTAAAAACATATCGCATGGAAGCTGAATATTCTCTAAACATTTACACCTAGAATGGTAGAATTACCTGATAATTTTATCATTAGTTACTTAATTAACAAATCACATGTAGATTTGTGAGATTTTGTCAAAAAACATAAAAAACAATCACTCCACAAACAAAGAAAATTTATTTAGCTTGATTGAACAATAAGATATGGTCTTGGGCAATTTATTTAATCTCTAATTCTCCATTTTCTCATATGTAAAATGGAATTATAGTAAAAAAATAACTTACAGGTTTGCTGTGAGGAATGGTAGACATGGAATTCCAGGCCTCAGATTTCTTTTATTAAAACTTGCTGTAAGGAACAGCAGACATGATGATATCTCTAGCCGTCACCTTCTGAACGTATCACTGCATTTGTAATGAACTATGCTTGTACTGGAATGCTTCCAGCTAATGACTTACCATGATGGAAGGTCTAGTGCCCTGCCATCCCTGCAATATTCAGGACTTCACTTACTGACAACTTTGGCTCATGGACTCCCTATTTGCCTCACTGAATCTTTCTTAGAACTGTGCTTCAATCTGCAACTCTTTCTGTCCAACTATTCTTCCTTTCCTCTCTCTTTTCACAGATGTCATATTTACTTTGCAGTCTCTAGGCTCTCCTTGCATACTTCTGCTTCTTCACCTTTATCCTACACAGGTATGAAAATAATTTAACATTCATAAGTATATTCAGAATATTGCCTGCACATAGTAAGCACTATATAACTGTTTCTTTTTAAAAAAATAAGGAAAGGTTTTGAATTATACCATGAAAAATTATATTATATGTATTTGCAATAGATAAACTCAACAGATAAAAACTGTTCTTGAACATGACAAAAATGTCATTACTGGCCATTTTACTAGCAATATTATTTTGACAATTGAGTTTCTAAGTTCTTGGCATAAAGAGTAAGTGGTAAATGTATTTATTCTAACAAGCAATTATATTATGGCTACTTTAACTTTGAACAAAACCCTTTGCCTAGTGTTGAGAAAAGCAACCTGTAGAGCAAATGAAACATTCTAACCTGAGAGCTTCCCAAGTACTGTATTTCATGGCTCTGGTTTATTTAACTTGTTAGAGCATTAATTCAGAATTTAACAGTTCATATTAGGCATCATGCTGTGGTGTGCAACAATCAATGAGACAAAACTGTGAACTTTGAAAAATTTTCTTTCAGTTTGGGTAGGGGAAAGGAGGGAAAGATGCGTAGAGCTAAACAGATACAGAGAAGGATAAGTAACTATACAAATCAGAACATACAACTGTAATCATAGGAATGCAACATGATTTATAAAAGAACATTTGTCCATATAATTGTATTAAGAATAATATGGTATCTTCCAAATGATTTTCAGCAATTTACATAATTTTTAAAATTTCATAAACACTTGCTCTGTGAATTCTATAAAATATTTATATTTATTGAATCTTCTTATGCAAAGCTTGTATACAAAAAAACCCAGTTTCTCTCTAATTCATTTCAAATATTTTCTTATTGCTCATTTAGAATCTGATCAACATAGGTAAGTGGGTGAATCGCAAGACACTTCATTCTCTGGTGGTGAAGTGGTAAAATTGGATTTGAGTCCTGAAACTTCCATTTAATAAACTTTGTGGTCACGTGACTTTTTCAAGCCTAGTCTTTTTATTGTTAAATAATGATATATATTTTAAGTGTTAATAATTAAAAACTTTTAAAAATTACCAAGAAATGTTACCCATGTTAGTTTTCCTTTATGTACATTGCTTTCTACTCATTTTGTCCTCCTCTACATCACCTGTGATAAAATTGGTGCTTAATCCATCTAAATCTGCTTCTAGCCTAAAACACACTTGGGTTACAGTAATTAATCTTGTGTTAGTTTTTAGGCTCATTACTCAAACTGATGAGGCCTTCAGCAAAGTTGAAAATAGAGAATTGTGCTGAATAGGAAGAAAATGAAGGATTTGGACCAATTTCTTGTTTTGCAGGTCTTTATAGTCTCATTGGTCTTTAATACTCTCCTCATTCCTCTCTGAGGCCTTACCTGCCCACGGGGAGTGGGGAACCCAATCCAGTCATTGCGAGGTGACTCCAGCTGGAGTGTCTTTCTACTATGTCACTATCTCTAGTGATCTACCGAGAGCTAGAGCTTGAGGAAGCAAGTGAAAACAGTATGTGTTTACTAGATATACACACACAGCCACTTCACTGATCTTCTGGAAGGAGCAAAAGCGTACAGAAAATTCAACAGAAGAAGAAAAAGGAAAAACAATGGCAAGTTGTTTCACATTGAGCAGGTACACACAAACCTAACACCAAAAGCCAGGAGAGCTGAGAGCCCCACAGAAGAGGCTGAAAAATCTGGTTTTTTAGAAAGAAAATATTTAATAGGGACTTTATAAACAGAAGCAATAGCTGTGGCAGCTGCAAGACACTAGCTCCTCACACTTGTTCTCCAGAAAGTATCCTGTATACAACACAGTTTTAGAATAAAATATGTGCAGCTGGTCATGTCTCAGACTTTCTTTCTGAAACTCGTGACCACTGGGAGGTTAGATAAGCACCTTCTTGAGGGGTTAGTTGTGTTTCCAATTCTTTAAGACCTAGCTGCAGAACACCTTGGTATGCAGGGGTCAACATGGTGGTTTTGCTTCAAAATGGTGTCACTCTTGCCATGCAACAGGCTTTTTCCCTACACAAGTATACCTCATTTTCTTGTGATTTGCTTTATTGGGCTTCACAGATATAGCGTTTTATACAAATTGAAGGTGTGTTGCAACTCTGCATTGAGCAAGTCTCTGGATGCCATTTTTCTAACAGCTTGTTCTCACTTCTTATCATTTTGTCTTATTTTGATAATTATTATAAGATATCAAACTTTTTCATTATTATCATATCTGTTATGGTAATCCATGTTCAGTGATCTCTGTTGTTAATATTGTAATTGGTTTGGACACCACAAACCACACCCATCTTAGACTGCAATCTTTGTCAATAAATGTTGTATGTGTTCTGACTGTTTCACCAACTGGCTTTTCCTCCTCTCCTATTTTCTCTTCAGGCCTACCTATTCTCTGAGACATAAGAATATTGAAATTAGGCCAGTTAATAAGCCGACAATGGCCTCTAAGTAGTCAAATGAAAGGACGTTTAGCACGGCTCTCACCTTAAATTAAAAACTAGAAAAGATTAAGCTTAGTGAGGATGGCATGTTGAGATGTTGAAAGCCAAGACAAGCTAAAAGCTAGGCCCCTTGTGCCAAGCAGTTAATCAAGTTGTAAATGCAAAGAAAAAATTCTTAAAAATATTTAAAAGTGTTACTCCTATGAACACAAATAATAAGAATGCTAATCAGACTTATTGCTGATATGGATAAGTTTTCAGTAATCTGGATGGAAGATCAAACCAGTCACAACATTCCCTTAAGCCAAGCCTAACCCAGAGCAAAGCCCTAACTCTCTTCAATTCTATGAACACTGAGAGGTAAAGAAGCTGAAGAATAAAGGTTGGAAACTAACAGATGTTGGTTCATGAGATTTAAGGAACTAAGTTATCTTCTTAACATTAAGGTGCAAAGTAAAGCAGCAAGTGATTCTGTAGAAGCTGTAGCAGGTTAGCTAAAATGTAGAGCTAAGATAATTGAACGTGACTACACTAAATAACTAATAAATATTATACATGATCATGTGGGGAAAAGATGCCATCTAGGACTTTTATAGCTGGAGAGGAGAAGTCAGTGCCTGGCTTCACAGCTTCAAAAGATAATCTGTATGATTCTCTTGTCAGGGGCTAATATAGCTGGTGACTTTAAGTTAAAGCCAATGCTCATTACCAATCTGAAAATCTTGGGGCCCCTGACAATTATGCCATAAATCCATTCTGCTTGTGCTCTATCAATGAAAAAAAACAAAACCTAGATGTCAGCACATACTTTTACACCATGGTTTACTGAATATTTTAGCCATATTTTGAGACTTAATGCTCAGGAAAAAAAATTCCTTTCAAAATACTACATTGACAATGCATCTGTTCACCCAAGAGCTCTGATGAAGACGTGCAAAGAGATTAATGTTATATTTATGCTTGCTATCACAACATCCATTCTGTGGCCCGTGGATCAAGGAGTCATTTTTATTTTCAAGTCTTATTAAGAAGTACATTTCATAAGGTCATAGCTGCCATAGATAGAAATCCTCTGATGTATCTGTGCAAAATAAATTAAAAACCTTCTGGAAAGGATTTACCATCCCAGATGTCATTAAGAACATTTGTGATTCATGGGAGAAAAAAACAAAACATCAACAACAGGAGTTTGGAAGAAGTTTATTTCAACTCTCATGGATGACTTTGGGGGGTTCAAGACTTTATTGGGGGAAGTAACTGCAGATGTAGTGGAAATAGCAAGAGAACTGTAATTAGAAATGAAGCCTAAAGATGTGACTGAATTGCTATAACCTCATGATAAAACTTTGATGAATGAGGACTAGCTACTTATGGAGGAGGAAAGAACATGGTTTTTTTGAGACAGGATCTACTCCTGGTGAAGATACTATGAACATTGTTGAAATGATAAAGGATTTAGAATATTATATAAACTTAGTTTATTAAGCAAGGGAAAGATTTGAGAGGATTGGTTTCAATTTTGGAAAAAAACTTCCACTGTGGGTATAATGCTGTCAAACAGCATTGCACACTACAAAGAAAACTTTCATGAAAGGAAGATTAAATTGATGCAGTAAATTTCATTGTTGTCTTATTTTAAAAGTTGTCATAGCAATCCTGACCTTCTGCAACCATGACCCCAATCTATACAAACTCCTGTAATAGATTATCTTTACCACTTCAGCTAACAGCATTATTCCATGGCACTCTTGCCACGTGACCCACGCAAGTTGGATTTGGCTCCTTGTGTTCCTTAGGACAATGGACAGTGAATGAATATAATATACACCTAGTGCAACCCAATACCTGCAAATCATGTGCTTGCATGGATACGCTTGACCTCTTGGAATTTTGGCCTCCATTACGAGAAAAGTTGCTCTAGAAAGCTGCTGCTTTAAGTATGAATATAAAGCCAAACTGAACGTGACCTGCAATCTGGAGATAAGTGTAGTAAGTACAGGAGATAGCAATTGAACAACTGCCATGAATCTGCTAGTTGCATCAATTTTTTATGAGTAAAATACAACTAGTTATATTCCACTAAGATACTGAGTTGTTTAAGACCTAATTTCATTGCAGCAAAAATTCGTATTATAGCTAATCTCAGCCCACCTCTCCTGATTTCATATGCTCAAACAAAAACCGCTTACTTTCTGTGTCCCTAAAAAACTAAGATCCATTCTATCAGTTTATAATCTTTGTTCTTTGATCATTAATGAGCACTTCTTTATCGATATCAAATAATATGTTCACATAAAGACTTGTAAACAAATGTTTATAATAGCCTCAGTAGCAATGACCAGATGCTGGAAAGCCTCAAGAGTCCGTAAATAGATGAATGAATAAGAAAATTCTTAGGTACACATATAATGAAATACTACTTAATAAAGATATTGATTTATACAACATGGCTAAATTTCAAAATAATAACAATGAATGAAAATGTGTACAATCTCTATGATTCCATTTATATGAAATAGTATAAATGAGAACTATAGTTACAGAAAGCAGGTCAGTTATTGCCTAAGGTGGTGTGGAGAGAATGAGATTGATTGCAAGCGGACAAAAAGAAACTTTTTAGGTTAATTGAAATGTTGATTCTCGTGATTTTGATCAGAGTTTCACGGATATATCCATGTGTCTTAACACATGAAATACATTTTAAATATTTGCAGTTTGTTTATATCAATAAAAATGTAAAATCTAATGCAGATTTTATGTTCTATCCCATAGATATATATCTGTTCATTCCAAAATAAAATAATATTTTAAATTACATAGTAAAATTATTTAACTTACCCATCTAAAAATTATTTAACTTATCCTCCAACCAAATGTTTAATGTATTCCTTGCATTTAAATAAATGAAGATAATTGTATTCTCTTTTTGCCTGTAAATCTATTATAAATATGGTTCATGTTCAAGAAAGCAAATGTTCAATTGCACAAAAGTGAATAAAATAAAGAATAAATGTCTTACATTGTAGTCCCTTTTCATACCCACTGCTCACAAGTAAATACTTTGTAGAATTTCTATTTGTTAATATTAGCATGGATTACCTTCAAAACTTTTAATATATTGCATTATTACATATTCTACATTATAGATATTATTTCTTAATTATAATGATATAGCGTATCATATGGTATTATATGTAATTATATATAATTATATTATTATAATCTCTAACCTCATATTTAATTTATTTAAATCTTATTTGTTATATCCCCAAAGTGTATGTTGAGAGTTTTCCTTACCAAGTCAGTTAGCTATGACTACATAGCAAATCACCCCAATTGCTTGCTCCTGTGTCTGTAATCAGTTGGCAGATCAGCAGGGGTGAAGGGGAAGGGATGGATGAGGGGTGAGGAGGTGTTGACCATCTCCAGGTGATCTTAATCTAGTGTCTGGCATTTAGCTAGCTTTGCGCTAGGGCAGCAGTGGTACTAGGCTGCTGGGTAGTTAGTCCACAGTGGTACTCGGCTGTTGGGTAGCGAGTTTAGCAGACTACCTTGGGATTATCCATGTTATCAGGGTTTTGGAGTAGCAAGAAAGCAAGTTCCAATGAGTATGGCTTTTTCAAGCCTTATCTTGTTATGAATTTACTATTTTCTTATAGATCAAATGGCACAGGTCAAAGCCCAGAGTCAGTGGGGAGGATACTACCCAAAAGGTGGATGCAGATAGGTGGGAGCAAATCAGGAGGCATAACTACAACAATCCGTTTCTCTCTACCCTCTGACTCTGGTTATGTACTTTTAATCTGATTTAGAGAGGCACAGCTTAGATTCCCTCTCAGGAAAATGTTTCTTGTTTAGCTGGGAGGAGTCTGATTAATTTCTTATATCTAGTGATTAATTCCTTCAGTTCCCATGCTTTTTAGTTGAGGTCACATTCTTTTTGGAGTAGCCCAAACCACTGACTAAGACTAGGGTAAGAAGCCTAATTATTTCTGTCTACCACTGGACTTTATCAGTGGGCAGTCTGCTCAGGAGCTCACTGTTGAACTGGCTTGTTCATACCTCATGATTCTAAAGAGTAGATTTTCTAGTATAAACTGGTCCAGACGATTAGCTCACATATCTGTAAGCAGTTTCCAAGTCAGCTTGGGCCAATTGGTCCTGGATGGCCCCACTCCAGTATCTTGCAGTCGATAACCTGTCACCTGGAGCCACAGCAATTCCTGGGACCAGGTGTGTCTCTCTCATCACCAAAAAGTAGAATATTACCAACACCTAGAAGTCCCCTCAACCGTCTTCTATTCAGTATCTCCCAAGGGAAAACACCTTCTTGACTTCTAACACAATAGATTAACAAAATAGTACAATATTAACTTTGAGAGATAAGTTCATGAGATGTTTAGGGAGATAATAATATAAACCAGTTAGGTGTTCAATAATTTGACAAAAAAGAATGTGAAAGGAAAACTCACATAAAGGGCAAGTTAAACTTGAAAAGGGAAAAAAAAACCATGCATATTTCTATTTATTCTCACCGGGAGGAATACAATGTCAAATGACAAAATTGCTTTTGAAAAAGTGGTCCATAGGTTAGGTTATAATAAGTGTGGTTTCATTTTCACAATGCCATTTATTTCCTCACGGTAGCAAAAAAACAAGGACAATTTTTAGCAAAACTAATAATGTTTAAGGAACAAATCCTTCTTGTTCAAGCTGTTAGTGGATACAGATGGCGTGGTGCAGATAAACACAATTTTAAACTTGCATTTTTCAAGGTTTTATCAGCTATTATACTCATCTATGCTTTGGGGGAGTTCATTCTCTGGGAGCATAATAGCAAAGATTTGCCTCCGTAATATTCTGGTCCATCTAATAGAGAAATTAGAGCCACCATTAGTCTGGAAAAAGCTTTGCGAGTGAGTCATTTAATGTCTAAAAGCTGATAAAGCCTTTTGCCCAGATGGATGATGGGTATGCTTGTTGGCTGGCTTTCTAAAGTATCACTGATTAAACTGAGACATTTACTGAGTGCTTTTCTTTCTATTTTAAATCTCAGCAGAAAGGTCTTGCTCATGGATGGGGTATAAACTTAGTGATTCGGCTACACATAGAGAATGGGCCAGGCTCAGGGCGTCTTTCTGTGTGATGTTGGTTCACCATCTAACTGGTTCCATGCAGCACTGGGCTACTTCCCTGAAACTACCTTCATTTGTTAAGATATTTTAGCAAGATATATTAATTGAATTTAATTGATCATACTGAGATATTCTTCTCTGCCATTGTTCTTGCTACTAAGAGACAATTAGACATGTGTTCTTCAATGGAGACTGTTTAGCTGCCTTTGGTCAGGATAAGACTTTCTAATGTTGGAAGGGATAGGAACAGGGCTTACAAAGTGACCTGTCCAAACTGAAGTTCCCATTGTGCAATTTGGAAATAGTACTGGCTGCTGCCTCACTCCTTTCGCATTCAGTATTTACCTACTCATCCCCAAACACCCTATGTTAATGCTCCTTTATTATTTTGTACTTTGTGCCTCTTCCATTAGATTATACTTTTCCTTGAGGGTAGAGGCTCATTTTTGGGGTTTTTGGGTGAATGTAAAAGCATGAGTAAAACGACTTATAGTAGGTGTTAAAAAAATCATTGTCTCTGTTGTATTACATTTCCAAAATACAAATATTTACTGGTTATCCTCTGGATGAACAGCATATATTTTTTCTCTTTTTATTTCAAATATTTGATTTCCAGAATTATTCCTGTGATTCATCAAGCAAGAGGAGCCCTAGACAAAATTAGTATGATTAAATCATCAGCATTTTATATGTAAAGCATTGTTCTAAATGGTATGAATACAGACATATTTTCTTTGGTAAACTTGTTCTCCGAAAAACTGTTTCCCTTTGATTTCCCAACCAAAGACACACAATTACCAATTTCTCAGACACCTCATAACATTATGGAAGGCTGGTTAGGATAGTGTTAATAGTTAAAAATAGGCAAGCTGAAGATGGTTAAAAATAGGCAATCTGAAGTTAGACTGAGCTTGAATCCCTGTACCAATATGGGTTAGGTTCAGACCTTGGACAATAATATCCTTGTCCATAAACAAATATTATTATGATTATTAAATGATCGGCATATCATACAAATTAAATGAGTTAATTTATAACTTAGAATTGTGCTTGACATATATTAAACCCTAAAAGGGTAATTTTTTGAATACTTCCTAATGTTATATAGGGTTACATGATTGCATTAATTTCTTTCTGGCCAGAGACTGGGTCATAACTTTTCTGATCCTTTCATTCTTCTTATCGAATATACTTATTCTACCCTTTTCTTGGCAAAAAAACTGCTAATGTTTCCTCCACTCCAAAAAGTAACTTCAGTTAATATACATATATGTTTAAATAGGCCTTTTGTGAATAAATCTATCATGAGAATTTACACAAAAAGACAAGTCAATGTAAAATTGACTTTAGTTTATGTGGGAATTTTTTTTTTTTTTTTTTTTGAGACGGAGTCTCGCTGTGGCCCAGGCTGGAGTGCAGTGGCGCGATCTCGGCTCACTGCAGGCTCCGCCTCCCGCGTTCACGCAGTTCTCCTGCCTCAGCCTCCCGAGTAGCTGGGACTGCAGGCGCCCGCCACCACACTCGGCTAATTTTTTTGTATTTTTACTAGAGACAGGTTTTCATAGTGTTAGCCAGGATGGTCTCGATCTCCTGACCTCGTGATTCACCCGCCTTGGCCTCCCAAAGTGCTGAGATTACAGGCGTGAGCCCCCGCGCCCGGCCGGGAATTTTAATAGCATGTGTTTCATCATGTGTTTTTTTCTTAGCAACTGGCAGGGAAGAAACCAAATTCGGTATTTATATACAAGCTCTCCTTTACCCAGTTTAAATTCCATGTTCTTTAAATGATTTGATTGGATTCCATTACTAGTAAGTGTGAATGTTTATCACAGGTTTGAAAACTAGTCTTTACCTGCCACACTATAAAAAATTGCAATCACAGAAGGAATACTTGATTGCCATCCATAACTTGCTTTCAGACCACTACCATTTTCAGCTAAAAAGAAAGGGGAGAAAAAGCAAGCCCAGGGCTAGGGGGCAATGGGCTTTGTCACTGAGGAGTCAGTGAGGAAGTCACACAC
The DNA here is from genome assembly GCF_000001405.40 of Homo sapiens. Classification (NCBI taxonomy): domain Eukaryota; kingdom Metazoa; phylum Chordata; class Mammalia; order Primates; family Hominidae; genus Homo; species Homo sapiens. The sequence continues at coordinate 81,031,653 of NC_000003.12, read as the reverse complement.
AACACTGTCACTCATTCTTCTTGAGATGCAACAGAGTTATAAAACTGCATTTCACGGTTACTGAGTCTGGGAATGGAGTTGCCATCTTGGTAACTACATCCCAGACTTAACCTGGGTTGAAATGATAGTAGAATCTATTATTTTTTAAGAAAAGAAAGAAAACAATTTAAAAGAGGAAGAGAAGTAGCTAGAGATAACATTTCTTTATCATAAATATTTAGATTTACTTACTTGTAATGAGATTAAATTGTATTTGCTATTAATTAAGATCTAAAACATATCCTGTTCTTGGTGATACACACAGGTTGACACCTAGTGAGCTTTACGTGCCTTTAGAGAAAGGCATGTTACTAGTACTTCCTCACTTGCCAATCAGATGACCTAGGTTTTGATTCCTTTTTGGCCTCTGTGAAGCAACAGGCATGTCACTTAATCTTGGTGCACTTCAGTTTCCACCTTAATAAAAAGAGGCTGTGACAGATTATATTCATATCGACTAAATTTTAAAACTTTTCTACTAGTAATTTCATTGAAAATGTAGATCAAACTATTAGGCCCAAGAAATAAAAAGCATGTTCTTTCAGGGTAGCATTATCATTGTCATTATTATTTCATGCTTTTTTTGGCCTCGTACTCTATAGACCATTTACCATATCAAAGTAGAAATCATAAATATGAGTATTTCAAATATTATTTCTTATAGTTATCTTCCTTTGTATTTCCCTTATTGCCCTACTGGGTTAGACTTATGCTGACCTGGAAATATTTCTGTTCAAATAGTTGAAATATATTAATGAGTTATGGTATATGTTTTAGTTTTCAATGCTTTTTAATTTCAGATGAGAGTTTAACATATAAACAATCACCATAAGCAAGTCTATTAATTTATAAATGCATATTTATATATAAATATATATATCAATTTATATTTATATATTATTATATTTATATATAAATATTTCATTATATTTTACAATAATGTATAAAATTATATTTTTTCTCTAAAATATTAATAAAACAAACTGAATTATCAGCATTTGATTTTCTCAAGGAATATTTGTCATTTTAACAGAAATATAACTCATAATTCTGGGTTGTTTAGTACTTTTGTGGAATGTGTTAGATTTTTCATAAATATATAGTATTTATATATATGAGCATTAATAAAATGTGTTTCATTTTTCAAACGCACCTTGAGTATGTGTTGTTAACTTTTTTAATGTGAGGCATCAAATCATGAAATTTCAGTTATCATCTAATCATAATACTCATCTTAGAGAAAATGTGTAGTCAATGCTCAATTTAACATGGCTTAACAACTGATCTCTCATAAGAGTATATAGCATACTTCTAATTGTTTCTAAATCTAATATTTATTTTCAAAAATTATTCATTAAGAGCTCTAGAGAACATAGCCTTTCTTTAGCAAAATGTCATGACTGAAATAATATTACAAATAAAAGTTTTCTAGCATGTGTATTGATTTTCCTTTCCGCCACTTACCTTACACTTTAGCACATGAAATCATTAAAGCATCATTTACATTTCCCAATTGAAATGCAAATTGTATGCTGGACATATGGTATGATAGCAAATTTGGCAGTCAGTACAGAAAAGGAGTGTTAATGGATTTCAACTTAAGTGCCTGAAATTTATGGAGAAGGTCAAATGACACATACAGTTTCTCAAGATGAGTGGATGGTTCTGATTAGTAAAATCTAATCAAGGATGCTTCTAGAGGAGAAAAAACCTAAAGGTTGTATAAACGTTGTCTTCTCTCTTCATAAAACTGGAAACCATTTCCTCATATTTAAAAATGTAAATAGTTGTACATTTTTACTGCCATTGTTAAATTTAAAACTGCATTTAGCAAACTGAAAGAAGTTTTATAAATTTTTGTTCAAGAAATATATTTCTTATGTTAACAAATTGAAGGGTAGGTAGATATTTGTAATAATTTTGAATAAATTAGCTTTAAGGTAAATAATGACCAAATGTTCCCTTTTACTTACTAAATAATATTGTGTTTTTTGAGCTGAAAAATTAGAGTCAAACTGAATATTTTGTAAATAACAATTTTGTATAATCTTTTTCATTTCATATAAGATAATACATCATAGCTCTTTAAACTATTTTAAAACTCTGTCTAGAAATTTAACATTATCCTATAAAATATAATTTTAAAATTTAAAAGCTAAATAAATATTTTAATGGTTTCAAAGTTTATTAATTTAAAATAGCAACTATAGTATTAAGAGATAAGCAGTTACGTAGACACAATTTCTCATGATCTAGAAAAAGCGAACTTTTCTATCAGTCTTTATGGGTCATATCCTTCTGTGGTCTGTGCTGATATAAACATTTGTGACAAACATGTTTAAATAGATGAGCTGGTTAAATAACACTTTATATACTTTCAACTTTGTAGAAATGAGTACACAGGTAATTCACGTCTGTGTCTGACAAAGAAGATTTGTTGTAATAGAGCCCCCAAATTCTACCTTTTTCCTAGCACACTGCTGCTCCCCTCCTTTCTTACAGTTCACTTATTGAATTGCCCCCTATTAGAGGTTGAATTCTTTTATCCCAAAATTCATGTATTTAAATTCTACTCCCCAGCACATCAGGATGTGAACTTACCTAGAAATACATGCAGATGCAATTAGCTAAGTTAAGATGAGATCACTAAGGTTGGACCCTAATTCAGGGTGACTGATATCCTCGTAAAAGGGGAAATTGGGACACAGAGATAGTCACGTATACAAGGAAGATGATATGAAGAGATAAAGGAAGAAAATGGCCATCTACAAACCAAGGAGAAAGACCTGGAAAAGTTCCTTCCCTTACACCCTTAAAAGAAAACAATCCTGCTGACACCTCCACAACTATGAGACAATGGATTTCTGTCTTTTAAGCTACCCAATCTGTGGTATTTTATTACTGGAGCCCTAGCAAACTAATATACCACCTGTGTTTATGTAACTTTCAGATCAGGAAAGCTCAATTTGCTATTTAAATTGTTTCTGCCATTTAGTATATGTATTTTCCTCAATGGAACCTTATCAGTTTCAACTCTATCCTCTATTTCTACTTACTGTGCTAATCCATTTGCCTTTTCTGTAATCCTCTTCAGCCTAATTTCTTAGTGTTTGAAACAGATTCTTAATAACTCGGATTTTTATGTAAATTATTTTGTGGAAATTTCATTGTGCCTTTAGAGCCATCTGTATCTATTTAAATGACAGAATTTAAAGTCAAATAAAAATTATTCATTATTACTGGCCAAATAGTTACTTGCTAGAAGGGAGAACACCCATCCTAGTTTGTCCAAAACTATGTAGTTTCTGAGGACATAGGACTTTCAGTGGTAGTACCAGGAAAGTCTCCAGGAACCAGGGAAATTCGGTACCCCACATCTTGATAAGTTAAAAAGACAGAGAGAGAAACTTGAGAAGATTAATGTTTCTGAAATTGTGGTCTCATTGAGATGGTGAGACAAAGTCAGAGCCTCAAGTGGACAATACCTCTGGGAGAATGTGAGGAGCAATGGTATGAAGATTGAATTTCATGGACGCTAGCATTCCTCTCAAGAAACGTAATTAGCCGGGCGTGGTGGCGGGTGCCTGTAGTCCCAGCTACTCGGGAGGCTGAGGCAGGAGAAAGGCGTGAACCCGGGAGGCGGAGCTTGCAGTGAGCCGAGATCGCGCCACCGCACTCCAGCCTGGGTGACAGAGCGAGACTCCGTCTCAGAAAAAAAAGAAAAAAGCTATGTTAAATGGGAAAATATCACACACCGGGGCCTGTCGAGGGTTCGGGGGCGCTGAAGGAGGGATAGCATCAGGAGAAATACCTAATGTAGATGACGGGTTGATGGGTGCAGCAAACCACCATGGAACCTGTATACCTATGTAACAAACCTGCACGTTCTGCACATGTACCCCATAACTTAAAGTATAATAATAATAATAATAAAGCTAAACAAAAAGTGTTCTGAAAATTAGAGTGAGATTTTTGCTTTCTTTCTGGTGAGCAGACAAAAATTAGAGTTCAGGTCCTATCAGTGCAATAGACCCAAGAGAGTGTGCTGGGTAGTCATCTGGAAACACTGCAGTAATGCACCTTGTGGGAGGAATAAAGTAAACACATTACCAAGACTGCAAACTAAGTGATCAGACCCCTCTTTAACTGGTAAAAAGGTGAAAGCTCCTGGGAAAACATGATACCACCTACAAATGTTTTGAACACAACATATGCCATCTGATTTACAGTTTGTAGGCATGTCAAGAGACAGAATTTTTAAAAAGTTATTTGATTAATCTGCCGGAAGACAAAATAAGATAGGGAAAAAGAAACATAAAAAAGAAACCTTAAATATATAAAACATACAGTAAAAGAGAATGTAAGTTTTAATATAATTAATACAAATACACTGCTACCTAAAAAGGGAACTTTCAGATTACACACACACGCGCGCGCGCACACACACATGCACAAATCATGCATATGCTGCTTTAAGAAGACACACTTTAAAAATGGCACAGAAGTAATGACAGTCATGGGTAGAAACAGTAATAACATGAAAATATAAATTAAACAAAATTTGATGTCACTATCCAGATGTTAGATAGGAATAGTTTAAGGCAAGAAGCATTGCCACAGATGTAAATAAAATAAACATTTTTTAAAGCATACCTTAGGTTATTGAGAGATACCTCCCTGGTTTCGGAATTATATAAAGATGCCCACTGTCACCATTTCTGTTCAACATGGTGCTAGAAGTTCTGGCTAATGAACTAAATCAGAAAAGTAAAATATATAAGGCTTAAAAATGAAGGAATATAATTGTCATAATCAGAAGGTAATTATTATCAATTTTAGTATTTTATTTATCTTTTAATTAACAAAAGTTGTATATATATGTATTTCCTGCACAACAGGTTGTTTTAAAATATGTATACATTATTAAATGGCTAATTTGAGTGAATTAACATATGTATTATCTCATATATTTATCATTTTTTGTAGTGAGAATGCTTAAAATCTACCTTTTTGTTTTTGATTTTTTTTTGAGATGGAGTCTTGCTCTGTCGCCCAGGCCAGAGTGCAGTGGTGCAATCTCGGCTCACTGCAAGCTCCCTCTCCCGGGTTCACGCCATTCTCCTGCCTCAGCCTCCCTAGTAGCTGGGACTACACGCACCTGCCACCACACCTGGCTAATTTTATTTTTTGTATATTTTTTAGTAGAGATGGGGTTTCACTGTGTTAGCCAGGATGGTCTCAATCTCCTGACCTCGTGATCCACCTGCCTCAGCCTCCCAAAGTGCTGGGATTACAGGCATGAGCCACCGTGCCCAGCCTTAAAATCTACTTTCTTTTTTTTTTTTTTTTACGGTTTGATGAATTTAATTAATTAATTAATTAATTAATTTATTTATTTTTATTATTATACTTTAAGTTTTAGGGTACATGTGCACAAGCAGAGGGGGGGATAGCAATGGGAGATATACCTAATGCTAGATGACGAGTTAGTGGGTGCAGCACACCAGCATGGCACATGTATACGTATGTAACTAAAATCTACTTTCTTAGCAATTTTCAAGAATACATTGTCATTGACACAGTCACCATATCGTACAATACATCTCTTGAACTTACTCCTCTTTATCTAACTGAAATTGCATATCCTTGGGCCAACATCTCCCCAACACCTCCTGTCTTTCCAGGCCCTGGAAACTACAATTCTACTCTGCTTCTATGAGTTCAGCTCTTAGATTCCACATACAATTAGTTGAGTTCAACTCTTAGATGCCACATTCAAAGGTAATGCAGTAGTTGTCTTCCTGTGCCTGGCTTATTTCACTTAACGTAATGTACTCCAGGTTCATCCTTATCATCAAAAATGATAAGATTTCCTTATTTTTAAAGGTGAAATAGTTTTTCATTACGTATATATACCACGTTTGCTTTATCCGTTCATCCATGCATGGACACGTAAGTTGCATCTATATATTGGCTATTGTGAATAGTGCTGCAATAAAAATGGTATGTAGATATGTTTTTCATACTGACTTCATTTCCTTTGGATATGTACTTAGTAATGGAATTGCTAGATCATAAGATTATTCTATTTTTAATTTCATGAAAGAACCTCCATACTGTTTTTCATAATGACTGTACTAATTTACATTTTCACCAACAATGCACAAGGGTTTCCTTTTTCTCACCAACATTTATCTTTTTTATATTTGATAATAGCTATTCTAACAGGTGGTGATGTGATAAACTGTGGTTTTAATTTGCATTTACCTGAAAATTAGTGCTATTGAGCATTTTTTCATATACCTTTTGGCCATTTGAATGTCTTTTGTTGAGAAATATCTGTTCAGATTCTTTGACTACTTTCAAGTTCTTTGTTTTCTTTCTATTGAGTTGTTGGAGTACCTTATATATTTTGGGTGTGAACCCCTTAGAAGATAAAAATTTTGCTAATATTTTCTCCTATTCCATAGGCTATTTCTTTATTTTGTTGTTGATTGTTTCTTTGGCTGGGCAGAAGCTTTTAGTCTGATGTAATTCCATTAATCTCTTTAAGCTTTTGTTACTAAGTCCTCGTTTATTAGAAGGAATTCAAACAAAAAGTCGGTATCAAGTAAATTTCCTTGGAATTCCCATGAAACTTATTTGGCTCAATCTCATAGGAAAGCTCTGGAGTGTATGGAAGACACATCAGAGATAATGAGTCAAAGATAACTGGAGTATTTTTATGCCCGATCCAATCAGCCTTTGGGAGGAGCTGCCCAATGGATTTGATTTCACACACTGTGGTTCTCCTTATACCCATTTACATTGAGCTCTGGCAGCCTGAGGGCCATCCTCTAAGAAGGAGTTGCGGGAAGTGACGTCATTTTAAGAATTAATGTGCATTAAAAAGTTAAAGAAAAGCGGTTGCATAGGGAGTGAAGCTGACAAAAATGACTTTTCTTCAATTTATTTAGGTACGTTCAAATTTCTTTAATAATGCTTTTATTTGTGTAGAGTTCACGTATTTTGGGGGCATTAGAATTGTTATTTTGTATTCGACATTTTCTGGGGGATTTAGTATAATATATAATTTTACAACTTTACTATTTTTTCCTAAAATATACATAGCTAATTTATGTTTATATGTTTGCCTTCTTTCTACCAAATCTGATAAATTTCTTATTCAAATAGATTACCTATGCATGATTTTGGATTTATAAACAACTTATCTGCAATCTGTAACAAATCTGTGATAGGAAAAAAAGTTTCAGATAACTGTGATAGGAAAATGCTATCCCAAATTGCTATGACTTTATAAATAAGTGCCCCTGCTTTCATCCTCTATTTGCTCTTTATTTTTCACTCCCTCTTAGATGGCCAGACTGTCTATAAACAACCCCACCTGCTCTCTTCTCTCAGACATCTAACATTCCTTTCATGTCTTAGGCTTTCTGTGCCCCACCTTACAGTCAGCATTAAAATATAGCTTTCAGGGGTGTATTATCTGAGAAAAAAAATTCAGGAGGATTCATGGGTTACCCTTTTAGAAATTTCCTGTGAAGTCACCATCTTAATCTTAGGGAATAATACAAATGGTGGAAATTTCTGTTTCCTGTGCAGGATATGGAGGAAAAAATTAGGCTGAGGAGACACTTTTTTTTTTTGTACTTCTCCTTAACCATCCATTGCTATTCCTTTGCTCCCAGCCGTATAATATAAAACCTGTAGGTTCTTGTCTAATGATGTGTACGCTATATCAAATAGAGCATTTTTATGACTAAAATTTGGCATAGAAGTTGCTATCAGTCACTTTATTGGAGAGTTTTGAACATTTTTCACTGTTGCCAAGATTTTAGAACAACATGAAAAAAAATCTGAAGCCTCACAAGCTTACACATATAGGATTTGAAAAATAACTATTTTCAGTTGGTACCTATGAGTGAGCATCATGCACCACATGACAATAAGAGGCTCTGTTGAAATCCTAAGAATGTTAACACAAAAGTGAATGCTGGTGAGGCTGAAGTCTGCTGTCATTACATTATATGATATCCTCATTCATCTTTGTACTTTCTCACTCGATCTTAAATATCTTAACTCTACCTTGACATTTCCCAACAAGGAAACGTGTAAGATGTAAACAGTTTACAAAGTTTCACTGTTCCTTAGATGTACTTTTACACTAAAATGAAAGACTGACTTTTTTTTTTTTTTTTTTTTTTTTGAGGCAGAGTCTGGCTCTGTCGCCCAGGCTGCAGTGCAGTGCTGCGATCTCGGCTCACTGCAAGCTCTGCCTCCCGGGTTCACGCCATTCTCCTGCCTCAGCCTCCCGAGTAGCTGGGACTACAGGCGCCCGCTACTTCGCCCGGATAATTTTTGTTTGTTTGTTTGTTTTACTTTTTTAGTAGAGACGGGGTTTCACTGTGTTAGCCAAGATGGTCTCGATCTCCAGACCTCGTGATCCGCCCGCCTCGGCCTCCCAAAGTGCTGGGATTACAGGCGTGAGCCACCGTGCCCGGCCGAAAGACTGACTTTTTAAATAAATTATTTAAACTATTGCCACTTACAGGCAAAGCTCCATGTCTTCAAAAAAAATTTGTTACGGTTTTTTAAGTCTAACCTCAAGAAGTGAAGAATAAAACTTAAATAGTGCATTTAGTATGCAATTATGTGTTTCATTAGTATTCAACAGAAAGAGTAAACAGAAAATTTTAAAATAGTGTGCTATTTCAATGTGTGCAACTGGAAAGGCAGATAACTTTTTGTAACTGTAACATTTAATAATATAAATTAATTACTTTTAGCATTACAAATAATTTTTCCTGCAAGAAAAAAGTGTCTTGCTTATGAAGAGAGTTTAATACTCTATGAGTATATATATATATAAAAAGAGAAAACAACAAAGGAAAGTCTAAATTTCTTTAGAATCAAAAGGAATACAGAGAAAAAGAGAAGAACAAAAGAAGACTCGAGATGAAGAGAGGATGAGGCTATCTTTGGCATAAGAACAAGGCAGTAAAAATTCTCAGTGTCAGGATGGCGGAGTTTGCTTAACAGATAGATATGCTTATTATTTAAATTTGAGTTGCTAGTTTTTGTATGATGTCATTATTTTACTAAACCTTCTGTGAAGTCAGCCATATTCAGAGAAACCTTGAGTAATAATGTGTATGTATGCATGTGGATGTGTGTAAGAGGCTTCAGCCAGTTTTATTACTTTAATGAAAATAATGACCTTAGTTGACACACGAGTGTTTGACCAAATCCTTCACCAATTTACTTGCTTTTTTCAAGTCCATTCATGCCTTATGGATGCTAATTCCCTTAAAATTATCAAAGCAAATTTAAACATGCAAACAAATGAGACTTTTCATATAAATATAAATTTCATATATGCGATTAAATTTGTTTATTAGACCAATTTCCTCTGAATATACTTTGAAGTGGCATCTAGGCCTTTGTAGGTGTGAGAGTATGGATTTCATTATTATATCAATTAAGGTATCTCTAGAGACTATAACAAATAAACCTTGAAGTCTCAGTCATTTAAGCAATGGAAGTTTACTTCTTGCTCACATCGGTGCAATCACTGAGTGTGATTGGTGTGGTGGTGGTGGTCCTGACACTGTATTGTTTCATATAGTCAGCCAGAACCCCAGGCTGATGAAGGATCTGGTATCCTCAATATTTAATTCCAAAGGTGACCAATAACCATCCGACACAAGTAGAAAAAAGAAAATCATCTGTGTAAGTTTCTTGTAGGTTAGGCCTAAAAAAGTATTACATTGCCTTCACTCATTTTTATTGATTAGAACACAGTCAAAGTCTACATCTAACTGTGAGAAGGGAAACAAATTTAGCCTAGTCTGTGTTAAGAAGAAAGAGAAAATATAGTATCAAGATAGCCCTTTTCAGCTGTAGTCTGCCTTGTGATCTCCAAACCACTGCTTCGCTTCTTTCAAATGGAAACATATGCCCTTTCCCTAAAATAGAAGGTTCAATGCTCCAAAAGCTCACTTATTTGTGGTAGGAGGAGAGCTAGGATAATTTTATATAATGTTCACATTATAAAGCTTTTTTAAAAAGGTATAACCAGGGCAACTCATCAAAGAATACATACAGATGGCAAATAAGCATATGAAAAAAATATGGTCAACCTCATTTGTCATTAGGGAATTACAAATCAAAAAACAACAGGAAAACATCACTACACACATAATAGAAAAGCTAAAGTACACAATGTTGACAATGCTGGTGAGGATACGGAGCAACAGGAACTCTCAATGATTGCTGGTTGGGAGTCAAAATAGTACAGCCACTTTGCACGGCAGTTTGCAGTTTCTTATAAAGGTAAACAGAGGTTTACCATATGATTCACCAATGGTACTCGTGGGTATTTCCCCAAGGAATCCAAAGCTTAGACTCACACAAAAACCTGCACAGGAATGTTTTTAGGAGCTTTCTTTTTAATTGCTAAAATTGGAAGTGAGCAGTTTTTCAGTAGGTGAGTGGGTAAACAAACTGTGGTGCATCCATGAAACTGGATATTGTTTTGTTTTATATATATATATGTGTACATTATATATATATATATATATATATAAAAAGATCTATCAAGCCAACAAAAAACATGAAGAACTTGAAAAGTATTCTGCCTAATACTTTAATGGTGGATACATGACATGGATTTGCCAAAACCCACAGAACTGTACAACAAAGCATGAACCCTAATGTAAACTATGGACTTATATTAATAATAACTGTATCAATATTGTTTCAACAACTGTAACAAACATATCACACTAATGCAAAATGTTAATAGGAGAAACTGTGTGGTGAGAGATGGGGTATATAGGAACTAGTTGTACTATCAGTGCAATTTTTCTGCAAAACTATAACTGCTTTAAAATAATGATAAAATATGTTATGTGAAAATAATAAAATCTATTAAAATTTACAAGTACCCAAGGCTACCAGACTTCCCGATCATTTACTCAAAGACATTTCAAAACCTCCTTGAGAAGAAGGAGGCAATAACTAAGGTAGGATAACTAAGGTAGGAGCCAACTACAGAGAACTCTTAGTGGAGTTTGAAACAAGAAGCCTTCCAGTTATGCCATATGGAAAAAAACTTTCTGGAAAATAAATAAAAACATGGAAAATCCATTCACAATGGCTTCAACAGACATCCCCTTATTCTTCCATAAGTCACCTGCTGTCCTAAATAGTTCCTGTAAAAAGTGAGGTGACAAAGCCCACACTTTAAATAAAACTTCCAACATGCTCAAACCCCGTACCGTCTTATCTGTCACTCATCTTTGACAATAAAAATCACAAAGGATATATATAAGCAAAACACCATTAAACAAACCAAACTATTACCAAGTCAAATTGACATCCTCTGAATTTCCAATTCAGGGATATTTCTGTGGGAATAAAAATCACTTGTTAACCTCATAGGAAATCAGCTTGGCATAAACAGGTGACATCCTTTAGAGTCTTAGAATTTTATAGGAAATGGGACTATTGATTAAATAAACCTAGATAGTTACCCTCAATTATTTTCAGTGAGCTTCTAATACAAAGACTTAGTTCTAGTTTTGTGGAAATTTGTATTTGAGCAATAGAAAACGAATCCACCAAACAAATACGTGGCACATGAATGGAATTATGTGTTTATGAAGTAAATACCACAGTTGCTTAGGTAAAGCATCATAGTGTACTTTTATTTTACAGAGATAACTAAAATACACCTGAAAAACAGAGACACTGTTGAATTTATCCTGTCACATATGTTTGGTTCCACACACTCATGACTTGGGAAGTTAATGTTGAGAAAGCTCAAAGACAAAAGAAAACATAAGACGTATAACACCGACAATATAAAATGCACATTGATTCACATTTTTTCATCTAATCTTTATTTTTTCTAAATAATCTGAAAGATTTGACTTTCAGAGATGTATGTACCAAGGAGATTCATATATACAATGAATAAATTATAAAGGTAGATCATTAAGAAATAAATAATAAAAATATAAATTTATGTATTGTGTGATATTTGTTCATTTTATACTTTCTAAAGTAAGTGCTAATCTATCTGTGGGTCAGAGTGTGTCACAAATTTGTCTTATATGTGCATTCTCAAAATATACATAATTAGTAGATTTATGATGAATTAGATGAGGAACAACAGTAAGTATTGATTGTAGAGCACATACTTAAAATAAATGACTAAGATATTTAAAATTTCAGAAACCAGTATTTCCAGGATGTTAGTAGTTGAGAAGACTTAAGAAAAGAAGAAACTGTGGATATACAATTAAAATTGAGATTTTACAAAAGAAAGAAATCAAGTTCATCTTTTATAATCGTTGTTATCAATATTATTGTCTGAGAACAATATTAGGAGAGATCCTGCTTGATTTTCTCATTATTGTCTTGTTGAAAAATTGAAAGAGCCTTATATCTAGAGGTCAGTGGAGGATTCAGAGTATATCTATACACTTATCTTTTAACAAACATTCCAAATTTCAAATATTCGAATGAGGGTTTCTTCTAAAAATGCATTCAAATGATGTTGCTATTTCCAGAGATGTATATTTTGAATTGCCTTCCGAATCTCTTACTCATTCTTTTGAACATTTTACATGGTGGCAAATAATTATGCCTTAAGAGTAGATTTTCAATTAGATAAAAACCAGATGTTGTTTTAAACATAAAGAATAAGACGGGTTATCAAATTGGATAGCACAATTTATGGTCAAGAAATAAAATGTGAATATATAGTTACGAGACTTTTTTTCTTCATTACCTTTTTAAATTGATTCCGAAAGCAGATTTTTTTTTATTCCAAATATGGCAGCATAACTAGGTAAAAAACTTGGTCACCCAAGACAGTCATATCAAAGGAAAAGACTCATTTGTGGTGTTTTTCTTTTAAATTAAAAAGTTAGCATCTAGAGCCAGAATAGATATTTACACATGTGAGAATGTTAATTTCTGTTCTTAAAGAACATGTTCATTGTAGATTTACCTAAGGATGAATTTGGTTTAGAAGATGTAAAAAACATAAAATAATAAATGAGTGGGACATAACCTTATAATGCTTATTTAAATACCCATTAATTCAGTAAATGGATAATTATTAAATGCCTCATTATTGGGTAATATCTTATGTGCATGGTACATATTTAAAAAGAAAAATATGCTGATAATATTTATGGCCTTAATGGTGTTTACATTCCAGTGAAGAAAAGCCAAAAAATGTATATTCTATAATAAAGGAATAAAAAAAGGAACAGTTTAAAAAAAAACAAGATAGAGGTGGCAAAAGGTAGATGCAAATTTTAAGTAAATGGTCAGTGTAGACTTCAGTGACAAGAAGACGTGACAAGAAGACAAGAAGACTTGGAGGAGGTAAGAGCCCACAAAAATATCTTTTGGAAGCACATTGAAAGCAGAAGAGACAGTCAAACTCAAATAGGCTCCTCTGACCTGCTCCCAGAGCTGGAGCATGTCTTTCTTGTCAAAGAACATAGCAAGGAGGTTGCTATAGCTATAGATGAGTGCATAACTGGGGAAGAATATACTGTGAAGATAATTGGCTTCTAACTTATCTGAAGCCAATGGAGAAAAGCCAAGTAATACAGGGACAAGAGTCTATGGTATATGCAAAAAAAATGGTGACAATGACTATGAAATTTAAGCAGGAAAAGGAGAGGAGAGAGGTATTGAAGAGAAGAGTGACAAATTCAAAATCAGAGATCTCAGTGGAGTGTAAAGATGGTTGGAACCAGGTGTGATATGGTTTGGCTATGTCCCCACCCAAATCTCATCACAAATTATAACTCCCACAATTCCCATGTGTCATTGGAGGAACCCTGTGGGAGGTGATTGAATTATGGGAAAGGTCTTTCCTGCACTGTTCTCATGATAGTGAATAAGTCTCACAAGATCTGATGGTTTTCAAAATGGGAGTTTCCCTGCACAGGCTCTCTCTTTGGCTGCTGCCATCCATGTACAATGTGACTTGTTCCTCCTTGCCTTCCGCCATGATTATAAGGCCTCCCCAGACATTTGGAAATGTAAGTCCATTAATCCTCTTTCTTTTGTAAATTGCCCAGTCCCCAGTATATCTTTATCAGCAGCATGAAAACGGACTAATACAAGGTGCTAAAGAGTTGGTTTGAAAGATAAAATTTGGTGGTTGTTGAGATGCATGGAATTAAAATTTTGAAGAACTGTAGTTATAGGTAATGAGAAGTTCTATAGTATGAACATAGGGAGGAATAGCTGAGAAAGGGTGCAGGGTAAGATAAGATAAAAAAAGGAATTGAGGAGGTAAGGTGTGGAAGGGGTGATCTATGGGTTTATTTTAATCACAAAGAAATAAGATAGAGTGTCAGGAGCTTAAGTAATTGAGAAATGACAGTAGGTTCACAGATCTTGGCCACTATGTGGGAAAGTTGGAACATAAGATTTGGAGCTGAGAGTTTTTAGGGAGATGGAAAGGAAACTAAATAAAGAACAAGTTGTATGGAGGATGTAGAAGGAAAAACAAAAGCCTCCGTGGCTCAAGAGAAAAGCGGAAAAAGCAGTGTCTGGGGAGGAGCAAATTTCTATTTCAGCAAAAAGGTGAAAGGAAGAATGGTAATGAGTTAGACCAAATGTACTGGTTCCACCTACACAACCAAAACAAAATATTTTTTAAAGTATTTGTATAATCAGAAATCTCTTCCCTATAAGCTTATAAGGAGAATTTAAGAATATGTTTAATATCATTTTCTTTTATTGAGACAGAGTCTCACTCTAGTGCCCAGGCTGGAGTGCAGTGGTGCAATCATGGCTCACTGCAGCCTCAACCTCCCAAGCTCAAGCGATCCTCCCACCTCAGCCTCCAGAGTAGCTGGGACCACAGGCATGCACCACATAGCTAATAATTTTTCAATTTTTTTGTATATATGGGGTCTCAATATGTTACTCAGGCTGGTCTCAAACTCCTGGGGTCAAGAGATCCCCCTGCCTCAGCCTCCCAAAGTGTTGGGATTGCAAACTTGAGCCACCACACCAGGCCTAAGTGTAAGATTCTTGAACAATTATCACATACTGTCTTGAAGTCAATTTTGCAGTAGAATTATATTGCAAATCCACATAAGGTCTTAGTTGTTAATCCAATTACTTTTGCCTTACCATGAATATCAAATTAATCAGGCAATTTATAAAATATTGATTCAATTTTTGAGACCACATTTTAAGATGAAATTTGACAAAAAAGAGTACTTAAGAGCCAGAGAGACTCATTTGGTTAGCTACAGTCTGTGCTACATATATGGATGGTTGAAGAAATCTAATTTATTTAGAAGGACAAAGAAAATGTAAAGACATCAAAGTTATCAAAATATTTTTAAAATAACCATGTAAAATCGGAGCCAACTCCTTTCGTGTTTTTCAGGGATGTAGGAATAGAATCAATGATTGAAAATTATAAGAAAAGGGTTATTATCTCATAATATTTGGTAAAATTATAATAGTTACAACTGTTCAACAAAGGTAGGGACTGCTTCCGGAGATATTAAGTGAAATCTTTGTCATATGAGACATTTACTCAAAGTTTATTTGTAAATGATATAAACAAGGAATTTCTGTAATTCACAAATGTTTGAATAAACGAGGGATTTTAAATATTCAGATTATTAGTGTTATTTATCCAATACCCTATATGTAACTATTTTTATAGCTTCTTCTGGGTGTATATTATTAGAAAAGGAAGGTAAGTTTATAGATTATTCTTGAGCCATGCAACATTTTTATATTTGTTGCCATTATTCAAAGGCATATATTTGGGCAAATATATTTTAATCCAGTATTTTTCCTCTCAGGAGATTTACCTTTGATAGTTCTCTTAATAGCTCTGGCTTCTTTATTCTTGCACATTAATTTTCCATGACAAAAAAGTCAAATTTAAAAGTTAATGTTAAAACTTGTATCTGGGGCTACAGATTGAATTTCTCTCTGCTTTTATTTGTTGAACCTGTGATAGATATTTACTATTGTCCAGAGCACTGATATATTCTATCAGCATATTCTTCCATGATTATGAAGCCTCCCCATCAGTATCTAGAGCACTGATATATTCTATCAGCATATTCTGCCATGATTATGAAGCCTCCCCATCAGTATCTAGAGCATTGATATATTCTATCAGTCTATTCTGCCATGAACATGAAGCCTCCCCATCAGTATCTAGGGCATTGATATATTCTATCAGTCTATTCTGCCATGATTATGAAGACTCCCCATCAGTATCTAGAGCATTGATATATTCTATCAGTCTATTCTGCCATGATTATGAAGCCTCCCCATCAGTATCTACAGCATTGATATACTCTATCAGTATATTCTGCTATGAATATGAAGCCTCCCCATCAGTATCTAGAGCACTGATATATTCTATCAGCATATTCTGCCATGATTATGAAGCCTCCCCATCAGTATCTAGAGCATTGATATATTCTATCAGTCTATTCTGCCATGATTATGAAGCCTCCCCATCAGTATCTAGGGCATTGATATATTCTATCAGTCTATTCTGCCATGATTATGAAGCCTCCCCATCAGTATCTAGAGCATTGATATACTCTATCAGTATATTCTGCTATGAATATGAAGCCTCCCCATCAGTATCTAGAGCACTGATATATTCTATCAGCGTATTCTGCCATGATTATGAAGCCTCCCCATCAGTATCTAGAGCATTGATATATTCTATCAGCATATTCTGCCATGATTATGAAGCCTCCCCCATCAGTGTCTAGAGCATTGATATATTCTATCAGTCTATTCTGCCATGATTATGAAGCCTCCCCCATCAGTGTCTAGAGCATTGATATATTCTATCAGTCTATTCTGCCATGATTATGAAGCCTCCCCATCAGTATCTAGAGCATTGATATACTCTATCAGTATATTCTGCTATGAATATGGAGCCTCTCCATCAGTATCTAGAGCACTGATATATTCTATCAGCATATTCTGCCATGATTATGAAGCCTCCCCATCAGTATCTAGAGCATTGATATATTCTATCAGCATATTCTGCCATGATTATGAAGCCTCCCCCATCAGTGTCTAGAGCATTGATATATTCTATCAGTCTATTCTGCCATGATTATGAAGCCTCCCCCTCAGTATCTAGAGCATTCATATATTCTATCAGTCTATTCTGCCATGATTATGAAGCCTCCCCATCAGTATCTAGAGCATTCATATATTCTATCAGTCTATTCTGCCATGATTATGAAGCCTCCCCATCAGTATAGAGCATTGATATACTCTATCAGTATATCCTGCTATGAATATGAAGGCTCCCCATCAGTATCTAGAGCATTGATATATTCTATCAGTCTATTCTGCCATGTTTATGAAGCCTCCCATCAGTATCTACAGCATTGATATATTCTATCAGTCTATTCTGCCATGATTATGAAGCCTTCCCATCAGTATCTAGAGCATTGATTTATTCTATCAATGTCCTAGAACATAGAGCATTGATAGTTCATAGGGTTAGGAATTTTATTCTGCGTCAAATCAGAGAATCAAATCTAGTCTCAACCAGAATTAAATCATTAAAGTGTGCCAAATAGTGTTGAAAGCAAAAAATGAAAGCAACAATGAGAAAATACATTATAAAAGACATTTTGAATTTTGCTACAAACTTCAGAACTTAAAATTCTTCTATGACTTGAGATTTTTTTAAAACAACAAACATATTAATGTCATGTCATCATGGGACTCTGAGAGATAATCAGTATTTGCAGGGCAGTAGAAGTGCTAAAGCAGAAAGAAGAGGCTCTCAATGAGGAAATACAACTTATGGATTAAGTAGATGATGAGATTAAGTCAGGCTTAAAAGAAATGTAGTGGTTAATATGCTCCCAAATTGAAAGGGTTTCGAAAGTATAAGTTTTACTGCTAAGTCTGGAAAACCAAAAGTAGCTTTGCTTCCTCTAATTGCACAGATATTAACAGAATGAATCATAAGCCATTTCAGGTTAAGCTCATTCACTTTGAGAAAGGCACACATCTGTGTTCTGTGGGTGTTGTGGCCTAAACTATTATAGGAAAGCCTATTGCACACATAGAAACATAGAAATAAATGACATAGTGGTGTAGTGAATTCAGAAATTTGCATATCCTGGGAAACTTTAGTCCCCCGGATTAGTGTAATTTTGTAAATGAGAAAAGTTCAAACTTTAAGGGAAGGTCTAAGACTTATGTCTTTTGTGAAGCTGCTTAATAATTTGTTTCATGTCATAAATAATGTAATCTCATTAGCATACCCAGAAACAATATTGGAAACTTCTTCTCTTTACAACTTAAAAAATTAAAACATTTTAATAATTGATATGCACAACTTTTGAATCCAAAAAAATGTGTGGCCACACCTATAAGAATGATGATATTTGTCTGATATTAGCAGATGACATAGATGCAGATCAAAACTTCCAACTCAATGTTGAAACTTGCCTTTGAAAAAGGGGAAATATCAGTTTATAAGAAGTTTATTTATTTTTAAAGATGTTTCTAGAAAATTGTTAATTTTATGATCTTCTTAGATACCAGCTATAAGATGTATCAATGTAAATTCCTGAAATTTCAGTAGATACCTGATCTTGTTTTCAGCAATTATAAACATGCTCTGTCATAAGTCTGACCTCGTCTTTTCTTGATGGTTCCCAAAATGGATAAATGTTAGGGAACATTTTGTTTTAATGTGAGATAGTAAGATAGGTAACAAGTATACATGGAATGCAAATAACACAGCAAATTGCTGCACCGCTGTAGAGCAGAAACCATCTTTCCTGTGCTTTGATCCTTCATAATAATTTCAGTTTCCTGATTAGTTTAGTCCAATGCCTATGTGTGATGTTATAGTCATTTGTTCTTTTTTTGCACTTTATCTCTTTATTCTTGTCTGTTTTTTATTGGCATAGCATTTCATTTGGTTTCCATAAACGATTTGCTGTCTCCTGCAATATAGTTCATTAATATTTATTTTATAATCTCATATTGTTTCCATATGATTCAGTTTTACACTTAATGAATCTGTGAACACTTCTTTAAGTAAATGACATCTCACAAATACATATTGTGTCCCTTCTGACATATTGCCTGTTAATGTCAAACAACACTCAAGGTATACCACATTCTGGGCCATAAAGCACACCTGAGTTAATTTTTAAAAATAGAAATCTTACAATGTCTATTCTCAGACCACAGTGGAATTAAAATAGAAATCAATAACAGAAAGATAACTGGAAAATCTTCAAGTGCATGAAGACAAAACAATGCGCTTCTATATAACACGAGTCAAAGAAACTAAAAGATAAAGTAAAAAAGAGAATCTCTGCTGGGCGGGGTGGCTCACGCCTATAATCCCAGCACTTTGGGAGGCCAAGGTGGGTGAATCACGAGGTCAGGAGATGGAGACCATCCTGGCCAACATGGTGAAACCCCGTCCCTACTAAAATACAAAATATTAGCCGTGTGTGGTAGCACGTGTCTGTAGTCCCAGCTACTCAGGAGGTTGAGGCAGGGGAATCGTTTGAACCCGGGAGGCAGAGGTTGGAGTGAGCCAAGATCGCACCACTGCACTCCAGTCTGGGCAACAGAGTGAGACTCCATCAAAAAAAAAAAAGAGAAAAGAAAATTTCAAGAGAAACTAAAAGTGTATTTTTTAATTAAAGGAAAATGAAAACACAACATAACAAATCTGTGGTGTGCAGCAAAAGCAGTGCTTAGAGAGAAATTTATAGTATTGAATGCATTTATAGAGAAAGAAGAGAGATCTAAAATCAGTAACCTATGTTTCCATTTAGGAAAGTAGAAAAAAGAAGAGTAAGTTATTGGTGAACTGCAAATGCTGCTGCCTGATCGTTCCTCTGGAAGTTTTGTCTCAGAGGAGTACCCAGCCATGTGAGGTGTCAATCTGCCCCTACTTGGGGGTGCCTCCCAGTTAGGCTACTTGGGGGTCAGGGACCCACTTGAGGAGGCAGCCTGCCAGTTCTCAGGTCTCAAGCTGCATGCTGGGAGAACCACTGCTCTCTTCAAAGCTGTCACACAGGGAAATTTAAGTCTGTAGATGTTACTGCTGCCTTTTGTTTGTCTGTGCCCTGCCCCTAAAGGTGCAGCCTACTGAGGTAGGCAGGCCTTGAGCTGTGGTGGGCTCCACCAAGTTTGAGCTTCCCGCTGCTTTGTTTACCTACTCAAGCCTTGGCAATGGTGGGTGCCCCTCCCCCAGCTTTGCTGCTGCCTTGCAGTTTGATCTCAGACTGCTGTGCTAGCAATGAGCGAGGCTCCATGGGCATAGGAACCTCCGAGCCAGGTGCGGGATATAATCTCCTAGTGTGCCGTTTGTTAGGCCCGTTGGAAAAGCACAGTATTAGGGTGGGACTGACCCGATTTTCCAGGTGCCATCTGTCACCCCTTTCTTTGATTAGGAAAGGGAATTCCCTGACCCCTTGCACTTCCCCGGTGAGGCGATGCCTCACCCTGCTTTGGCTCATGCACAGTGCACTGCACCCACTGTCTGGCACTCCCCAGTGAGATGAGCCCGGTAACTCAGTTGGAAATGCAGAAATCACCCATCTTCTGCGTCATTCATGCTGGGAGCTGTAGACTGCAGCTGTTCCTATTCAGCCATCTTGGCTCCACATTAGAGGAATGGCTAACTAGAATAACCAATACAGAGAAGTCCTTAAAGGACCGGATGGAGCTGAAAACCACAGCATGAGAACTACGTGACAAATGCACAAGCCTCAGTAGCCGATGCGATCAACTGGAAGAAAAGGTATCAGCGATGGAAGATGAAATGAATGAAATGAAGTGAGAAGAGAAGTTTAGAGAAAAAAGAATAAAAAGAAAGGAACAAAGTCTCCAAGAAATATGGGACTATGTGAAAAGACCAAATCTACGTCTGATTGGTGTACCTGAAAGTGACAGGGAGAATGGAACCAAGTTGGAAAACACTCTGCAGGATATTATCTAGGAGAAATTCCCCAATCTAGCAAGGCAGGCCAACATTCAAATTCAGGAAATACAGAGAACGCCACAAAGATACTCCTCGAGAAGAGCAACTCCAAGATACATAATTGTCAGATTCACCAAAGTTGAAATGAAGGAAAAAATGTTAAAGGCAGCCAGAGAGAAAGGTTGGGTTACCCACAAAGAGAAGCCCATCAGACTAACAGCTGACTTCTCAGCAGAAACTCTACGAGCCAGAAGAGAGTGGGGGCCAATATTCAACATTCTTAAAGAAAAGAATTTTCAACCCAGAATTTCATATCCAATCAAACTAAGCTTCATAAGTGAAGGAGAAATAAAATACTTTACAGACAAGCAGATGCTGAGAGATTTTGTCACCACCAGGCCTGCCCTAAAAGAGCTCCTGAAGGAAGCACTAAACATGGAAAGGAACAACTGGTACCAGCCACTGCAAAAACAAGCCAAATTTTAAAGACCATCAAGGTTAGGAAGAAACTGCATCAACTAATGAGCAAAATAACCAGCTAACATCATAATGACAGGATCAAATTCACACATAACAATATTAACCTTAAATGTAAATGGGCTAAATGCTCCAATTAAAAGACACAGACTGGCAAATTGGATAAAGAGTCAACACCCATCAGTGTGCTGTAATCAGGAAACCCATCTCACGTGCAGAGACACACATAGGCTCAAAATAAAGGGATGGAGGAAGATCTACCAAGCAAATGGAAAACAAAAAAAGGCATGGGTTGCAATCCTAGTCTCTGATAAAACAGACTTTAAACCAACAAAGATCAAAAGAGACAAAGAAGGCCATTACATAATGGTCAAGGGATCAATTCAACAAGAAGAGCTAACTATCCTAAATAT
The DNA here is from genome assembly GCF_000001405.40 of Homo sapiens. Lineage (NCBI taxonomy): Eukaryota > Metazoa > Chordata > Mammalia > Primates > Hominidae > Homo > Homo sapiens. Next base: position 81,009,711 of record NC_000003.12, on the reverse strand, counting down.
ATATGCACCCAATACAGGAGCACCCAGATTCATAAAGCAAGTCCTTAGTGACCTACTTAATGGTATTGCAAGAGGGTGATCCCCCTGTACTATGGCAGTGGCTGCCACTTGTACACTTACCCAGGAAGCTGAGAGTTCACAATGGGCCAAGATTTGACAATTCAGGTCTCCCACCAAGTGACAAGTAAGTGTATTGGAAGCCAAGGGGGCATCACTGGTTAACAAGAAGCAGAATGCTGCAGTATTGGGCCCTGCTGGTGTACACCCCCAACTTCTGCTGCATATATGCCAAATCCTAAACCCTGTTAACCTAATGCCCATTACCAAGGATACCCTAATCCATGACTGCTCCACCACCATAGAGGAAATATATATCAGTAGAAAAGATTTGCAGAGCAACCCTCTTCCTAGTTCGGAAGACATATGGCTTGTAGATGGCAGTCAGTTCAAGGAAGGATGCCAAAGAAGGGCAGAATGCACAGTTGTGTCCCTACAAGAAACTACCAAGCCTAAGGGCCTCCCTGAAGGGACTTCAGCCCAACAGGCTGAGATAATAGTCTTAACCACAGCCCTAGCACTAGGAAAGGACAAGTCCTTGACTTGTTCACATAGACACAAAATACACTTTCTTTGTGGTCCATGCCTATGGTGCATTCTGGAAGACAAGGGGACTTCTCAATGCCACTAATGTAGAAATCAAATATGCAATAGAAATATTGGCAATGCTGCAGGTGATGGAAATGCCTAGACAGATTACTGTAGTCCATTGCTGGGGTCATGAGATGGGGACTCTGAAATACTAATGGGGAACAACCTGGCAGATTCTGTGACTAAAAGAGTTGTAAGAAGAGGGGAGGTCCTCCAAATTTCCTTGCTTTCTTCAGTACATCTTTACAAATATAAGCTGAAGTGTCCCCTGGGGAATTGTAGGAGGTCACACAAGAGGATATCATCAGTTCCCTCTCAGTGCAGTAGGCCCTAAGCAAGAGTGGTGGGATATGAGTGCCCAAAAATCTGAGGTGGGCTATTGTAAAACATTCACCTGACTCCTCAGGCTATGCATGGTTTCTCATAATGAGAACCCCAAGGAAATAACGGCAAAGTGATGAACTAATATTTATATGGTCAGAAAAACAATGCCCAAACCAGACCTCCCATACCTCCTTTTGCTAAAGTGATACAATTCAGGGGGAACTGCCCAAGGAAGACTGGCATGTTGACTTCACTCTTAGGCCTATGGTTCCTGGAGGATTTAAATAGTCCTTGGTACTTGTTAATATCCTTACCGTTTGGATAGAGGCTTTTCTATGCTGGACCAAAAAGTCAGGAAAAGTCATAAAGGCTTTACTTACAAACACTATCCCTCCATTCAGTCTTCCTAGGTACATCCAGAAGGATAATGGGTCCTTATTTACTTCTAACTTAGTGGCAAAAACTTCCCATGTCTTGGGCAAACAATGGAAGTTGTATGCTGCCTGGAGACCACAATTCTCAGGGAAGACTTAAAGGGCTAATAGAATTCTCAAGGGTACTTTAGCCAGGTTATGTCAGGAAGCCAAAGAAAACTGGTTGAAGCTATTATACATAACTTTGGTCCACATACAAGCAGCACCTAGAGGCAAAGTGGGACTTAGCGCTTTGAAATGTTATGTGAAAGGCCTTATCTGGGCCTGACCAGCTGCCTTTCTTGCCCAGACGAGGATATAGAAAGAGACACAAAAGCACATCATTCATTTGGGTTTCATGGTAGCTGCTCTTTAACCCTTTTGGCAACCTAAGCCTCACAGTCCCCTCCAAGGGAAAATTTCACTCATACAACCCAGGGGACTGGGTACAGCTCAAGACCTGGAAGAGAATGTTCCCCCAGGATCAACTCAGCCCCATAAAGATAGGGCCCTGCCTAACTCTTCTAACTACAAATTATTCCCTTAAACTCCAGGGAATAACTCCCTGGATCCATCACTCCAGAGTGAACAAAGCCCAGGAGCTCCCAGAGAACACCTCTGCAGCATACACTTGTGAACCTGTCATAGACCTCAAATTGGTTTTCAGAATAAAAAGCTCAGATAAGTAAAATGTTTCCTTGTCATTCTTTTGACATAGTAGACATCTTTCTTATCCTTGTAGGAATCTTCATGCTTATTGCCCTTTTATATTCTGTTGAGATTCTTAGTTGGTGATGAATCTCTCCATATAATATTTTAGAATGAACCCTCTCTTTCCCTTATGCTGGTTGGCCACTTTAGACCATTGGCTTCTCAGCCAGTGGTCTCTGGGAAGCCAATGCATAGTAAACTTCTCCCATGTTATACCCAGTGGGAATAACCTGTCCAATGTTGAATATGCCATAGGCATCTCCAGACTCCTATGAGGTGGCTTGTTACTTATCTTTGAGGGGAGACATTAACCTCAGGGTGGCAAAGTGAAAATCCCAGATCCCACCTGTGCCCATTGTGATCTGAATAGGTCCTTCCTGGCCTATAGATTGTGTGGAATTCACCCCTAAGGGCCGTGTCACCAGGAGAATAGGCCTTGTTCATTTAAATAGTTCAGGAAAAGGGGTAAAGTATCAAATATGTTATGGAGAGGAATCTGTTATGTACTTTTCAACTTTAACCTCACTAGCCATTGCACTCTAAACACCAACCATTAGTGTTTTCTCACAGAGGTCTGTGGGGACATAATAGACGATAACACTGGTTATCATAATCAATGTAAACTTTGGCAAGAGATAAATAAATTCCTTGATATTGGAAACTATTATTTCTCACCCTCAAAGCTGATGGAAGAGCTTCAACAGGACAAGTAAATCTTAGCCTGACTTATGGAGGATCCTTATTCCTCTAATGTGATGGGACTACCTGTGCCCCTTGGGGCCTCCAATTGCTTGGTTGTTAAACTTCATCACTCCCACGAGGGTGTGTGCACCTCCAGGATATGTTTTCATCTGTGGCTCACCCCACCACAAGCTCCTTAGCTATAAATTCTCTATGGTTCTTTCCTCTCTGCTACTTGCAGTGGCTCACCCCTGTGTTGACAATGTAATACAGCTAGGACAATGTACTGTGGGCCTTCTGGGGCCCATTAGATAACGTTTCATAATATGACCACCCATTATAATAGACCACAAAGGGTTATTGCACTAATTGTGGCTGCCTCTTGTTGGAATTTTGACTAAGGTCACCCTAAGAAATTTAACCTGAACACTTGAGAATCTGGAAGCTAAAATGATGGAGAATCTCCGAAATATGCATCTTTCTTTAAATTCACTAGCTAATGTAGTATTGAATAACTGATTGGATTTAGACTATTTACTAACAGAACAAGGAGGGATACATGCAGTCACCAATATCTTCTATTGCACCTGGGTAAATGCCTTTGGGGAAATAGAGGTTAATATAAAGGAAATGTTTAAACAAGCAGAATAGCTGTGTTCCTTCAACAAAAAGTGTAGCTCAACCAACCAAGTTTAGAATGCACTCTCACTTCACCTGGTTTCTTTCTCTGCTGGGGCCCCTAGTGGCCATTGTTCTCAGGTTACTTTTCAGTCCCTGTACATTTAAATTGATAGTAAACTTTGTGTCCTCCAAACTGTAGCAGTTCCATCTTGAGCTTGTATTACTAATACAATACTTGCCCCTTCAAGCAATTTTAGAGGACCCAAAAACTTATGTGAACTCAGCAGCTGGAGAGTTTCACTCCTCTAACTTTAGAAGACACAACATGAAGTAGATACAGAAGAATGAGCTCCATCTCTAACCCCTCAAGAATCAGGAGTGGAATGTTTTGGGGAGATTTGCAATCCAGGGTCCCCATATTTTCAGATGCACAGTGTGAAAAAGTACCCATTAGTAACTGTTGGACCTTGAGGTTTTGTTGCATCCAAAAGTTACAGGAAGAAGCCCAGCCCTGGCAAACAAAAACATGTTGGATCCAGAGATGCCTAAATTGGAGGCAAACTTTGGTGAACTCTCGGCATTACCATTTTCTGTATTAGTCTGTTTTCACATTCATATAAAGAACTACCTGAGACTCGGTAGTTTATAAAGAAAGGAGGTTTAACTGACTCACAGTTCCACAGGCTATATAGGAGGCATGGCTGTTGAGTCCTAAGGAAACTTACAATCATGGTGGAAGGCAAAGGGGAAGCAAGCACTTCTTCACATGGCAGCAGGAAAGAGAGGGAGAGAGAAAGAGAGAGAGAGAGAGAGAGAGAGAGAGAGAACCAAGGGAGAAGTGCTACACACTTTCAAACAACCAGATCTCATGAGAACTCACCCACAATCATAACTAAGGGGAAAATCCGCCCTGATGATCCAACCACCTCCCACTATGCCCCTCCTCCAACACGGAATTACAATTTGACACGAGATTTGGGTGGGGCACAGAGCCAAACCATATTACACACTAACATCCATCCCCAGGGAGGAGCTTATTCACCATTTACTATATATGTGATGTGTGAAGAAGCATGATCCATGACGGTGCCTGTGCTGCCTTTACCTTTCCTTTACGTACAATGACTCAGCTGAACAACACAATAAATACCTCACTTTCATCTTCGTTCGAAGAGGCATTGCTTTGGGAACTGTCCCTGGTTTTCTTACTTTTGATAAATAATAAAATCCTCTTATTTAAACCTCTTTGGTTGTAGTCATTGAGCTGTCACCTGCCAAGCAATGGAACCCACTCATATGTGAGTAACAGTTTAGACTTGGTAAAATAATATGGCTAAAACTTATGGAGCATCCACTCTATGCTAAACAATTTATGTCATTATTTATTGTTTCAGAATGGATTTAAGGCAGGTGTAAATATGATATTTAATCTTAGTGCCATAGCTTAAAATAAGTCTTACCCTTTTTATAGTTATGCAGAAAAAGATTCCATGAACAAAATTATATAAAAAGTATATATTGTAACCAGCAATTGAATCCAAGCCTCTTGGCTCAGAAATCCATATAATTTCCACCACATTCCATTACTTCATTGAAAAAAATCATATAGTACATTTCTTTAGCTTTATTTAATGCTAATGTATGCTATTCTAGTGATTAAAAATGTAATGTGATATTCAATTGAAGATACTTTTAAAGATATGCAGATACACAAATGCAGTCAAGCATACAATTTACATACTATCATACACACACAATTATTTAATATTATTTAACATTTCCCAAAGTAAAATATTTGTCATGTCATTGCATTTGGATTTTCTCATTTCTTCACTGATCTGGTTTAATAATATCCAACTATTGCTAATTCCATTAATCAATGTGGTAAATTTAATAATTTCAAAATTTCCAAAAAGACAGGTCGATGATTAAGGGTTGTTGAAATTCTCCAAAGTGATGTTTTTCTTTAATTATGTCTCTGGATTCTGGAAATGTTGAGCTATTTTCTAAGGACACTAAAGTGGATCTGATTTGGGTTTAGAAATGGAGTACTCATGTTTGATTAGACAACAGTGCCACTCAGATAACTAGAAGGTTTTGCGGATTCAGGCTTCTTATGAAAGAAAACTGATTTTCATAACTTTTTATTTCTGATTAGAGCCGACTAGAAATCCCTGAGGACTTCCATCAGAAATGTGCAAACAAATTCCATGAAGACTCTATGGTTACAGTATTCTCAATGCAATTATATTTCTTGTATGTAACCCACTTCTCTTTCACTAAAAGCGATGACATCATTTTGACTGAGTGTGTACTAGAAAAGCTCATTTAAGGTCAAGGAGTCTTTACTGGTTTATGGCTAGCATAAGAGTTTAATACTAGGCTTTCAATATGGAGCCTCTGGTATTAAAGCAACCTTACCCCAAATAAATACCATTAAATATATTTTGTTGCATTCTAATTTTACGGCTCCATGAGTTTCAAATATACAGATTACATTTTAAAAATGAGTTCAGGATTCTATATTAACTAAACTTTGTGGCAGACAGAACTGCTTTCTTAAACTGTAGACATGGAAGAACTGATTAGGTATGCGCAGACTAGAATTTGTTCTAATGGTTTATCTTTGTTGCTAACAATTTTTGCTTGTGTATATTTCCACCTGTTAAATTACTCTATAATTTACTGTTTCCTGCTATTTGACAAGAAAACATTACAATCACAATAAAAAGTAATTTAAGGCTATTACCAATCAATGAAATATGTCCCAGTCTAAAATGAGATTGAAATAATTTATGGGGGATTTTACAGTCAAATTAGAATGAAGATTATTCCACAGGGGGAAATCAACTTCTGCAAAACTGCAAGCATCATATATTTCCTAATATGTTCTCACAGCTGAAACAATGTCATTATTGGAAGACAGCAGAGGAAACTCAGTGCAATCAGAAGAATCTTACAAATAAATGCTGGCAAAAAGAGGGTATTTTTGGACGCAAAACTCAGTAATGGATTTGAAGTTAATGCAAGATGAAGTTAATGCAACATTAAACCTAGGAGGCACATCAGGTTTAATACTGTTGAATGATTCACCACAAGTGTGGTTTGTTGACTGACATTTTTATACCCTTAACCTTAGGAAACCTTCCTAATAACATTTAGCAATTTAGCAATAGTATATCAGCCCTCCCCACTGCCCATCAATACACAAAACTGAAATGTCCTAGAACACAAGCATTTCATTTCAGTGTTGAAAAGAAATTACATTCAGTTTCTCTTTTCCTGGCAAATGAAACCTTGGATTTGAAGGCTTTATGAGCAATGACAAGATTTCATTGTATTTACTCCTATTTTATACCGAGAGTTCATGCAATGCATTTTACTTATTTATAAACCAATTCACATTCATCAAAAATGTGACATTTGGAAAATACAAAAATTTAAAGAAAACAAATACTTAGGAGCTACTGAACTCAACACAAATGGTTGGAAAATGAATAAATCCAGTATAGCATTCTTTTGTTTCCTTAATAAACAAACATAAAATGCTCAGTTATTCTCTACTCGGCTTCTCCTTTACCTCTCCCTCTGCTCTCAACTCTCAAAATTTAACTGCCTGATAGTCAATCATCCTATTGATAATAAAGAGTTGAATTCTCCAAATAATATAGACAAATGGAAATCTAACTGTCATGGGTGTGGTAAGAAAGATGTTAACTAATTTTTCCTTTAATATAGATTGACTAAATTCATTAACTTATTCAACTTAAAGCCAGACTCTGCTTTCGATGAGGTCTGTTAAAAAACAAAAAAGGGACATAAGAAGAGTGCTAGAATGTATTTACTGTATTTAATGACAAAAGCAGCAATAGGGCTTCTGATGAGATTAGACATTATATCAAGTATAAAATTATTTAGGCAGTTATTTTTAAACTAATTTTAATTCCCTGGAGGAAATAATGTAACTTGATTTTTTCCATTTAAGCTTTAATGAAATAAAACTATGTCTCCAAAATATTAGAATTAGAATTAAATCCAAATCCATATAAAGTATGCTGCTTTATATTCTTTTAAGTTATCCAGGATCCCTCTCTTATTTAAAATTAAAAAAATTTCCAAATCCCCTGGAAAAGTAAACGTTACTTTTACATTTAATTTGTTCTTTAAAACAGAAGACATGTGTTATGCAGATAAAGTGTAGTAGACAGAAATACAAATAAACCATAGCTTGTTTAGTATATAATTAATATTTCTAAGAGTATTCAAAATTTATGTGTTAAATTAATACCTGTAATTGCCACATTCACCCATTTCTTACTGTTTTGTTTTTAAAACACCAGCATATTTATCCTGATAAAAACACGCAAAAATATGAGCTTTTCTCTATTTAAAAAAGTGGCCTATTTGATAGTAATAATAACATAATTTGTGATTCATCATATATGTAAAAGTAAAATATATGACAATAATAGCTCTTAGGAATGGAAGGATTTAAGTAGGTACATACTTTTGTAGGGTTCTTTAAAACTGAAGTTGTATAATATTATTTCAAAATACACTGAATATAAAAATACATACAACAATCCCTAGAGTAAGCATTAAATAAATAAAGCAAGTATTTATGCAAAAATATTATAAAATAAAATGAAATATTAAAAATGTTTGATTAATGTGGAATACTGCCGGAAAGATAGAACAAGAACACAGAAAACAAATGACAAATGGTAAGATGGTTGATTCAAACCCATCTTAATAGTAACATAAAATATAAATACATTAAACATTTTAAATAAAAGCTGAGATGGTATGGCTAGATAAAAAGCAAGGCCAATCTAAGTGATTATTACAAGGGAAAGACTTTAAATATAAAGCTGCAGGTAGAATAAAATGAAAAATATGAAAAATAATCCATGCAAACAGTATTCACAAGAATGTTTCTTTGTAGATGTCAGATAAAGTAGATTACAAGACAAAGAGTATTAATAGAGAAAAAGAAAATCATTTCACAATAATAAGAGAGTCAATTAATCAACAAATATAGTCATCCTTAATATCTACCCATTTGTAACAGAGCTTCAGGTCCACAGAAAATGGACAAAACTAAAGGGAGAAATACAAGTAAAATTTAGGATTTAAATGCATCTCCTAATAATTAGGATAAGAAAACAAAATGTGATAAGAACATAGAAATTCTGACATTCACCACCAACCTGACTTAATTGGCACTTATACAATACTATACCCAACCAATGCAGAATATTCCTTATTTTCCTAACATACATGAAAGGTTAATAAGATGACAATATGTGAGAACCGAAAATGGTATACATCTCCAAGGATTTGAATAATATGGAATATGTTCTCTGAGCACAACTGAATTAAATTCCATGATGTGCTTATTTCACATTGCATGCCTGTCAAAATATCTCATGCACCTCATAAACATATGCACCTACCGTGTACCCACACAAATTTTTAAAAACAATAACGAAATTAAAAAATAAATAATAAACAAATTAGAAGTCAGTGTGAAAAGGTACCTAAAGTGTCCCAAATATGTGAGCATAAAGCTAAACAATTCTAAATAAATTTTAGAACAATGAAAAAGAACAAGGCACATTAGAAAATAAGTAAAATTGAATGATAATGAAAACACAGTGTAGCAAAACTTGTGAGATGTATACACACACAGTGTTTATCAAAAAATGTACATTTCAACTTTAAGTGTTATAAGTTAAAATGCTCATAATGGAAAATAAACACCTAAGATTTTACCTTAAAAGACTGGGAAAGGAAGAGCAAATTGAACTAAATAAGTATAAGGGAGAAAATAATAAAATATGAATGGAAATCAATAATTTGTACAAATAATATACAAAAATCATAAAGCTAAAACTAAGTCCTTTGAAAATTAATAAAATTAATATATCTCTAGCAAGCCTTATTGAAAAAAGAGAAAGGCTAGAGCTCATTTACTGGATATTAGAAGGAGCTCACCATGACCTCTTTGTCTAGGACAGGCTGCCTACCTAGTGCAGATCCCAGATCAATGAATGGAGGAGACTTCACTTTAAGTTCATGATTTAATTAATGTCTTGGACCAGTATTTTAACTGCTAAGTCTGTGTTCATATTTAAATTTGACGCTAGAACTTTGAATTAACCCAAAATTACTAAAGAAAACATGGAATTTTTCCAAGCTATCACCATGAATAAAGATTAACTACTGTATGAGCAGATTGAATGAGGCAATGAGGAAGACAAAAGATGATTATTTTGCAGTGTAACCCATGAGTCCTGCAAATATCAGCCTTATGAAAGAGTTTCAAGTAATAGCATTATTTAGAATGAATGTCATGTACAACAGGAATATTGACTTTGCTATACAGAAAACTTTTTGATTGAAAACAGAGCTCTGGTATAATATAGCTAAGCCTTGGGAAGTTTTGAGTTGCCAACAATTGCTTTGTGAACAGTCCAAAACCAGAAATACAGAATTTCTGGGGAAAGTGTGATTTTTATTAAGAAAAACTGGTTGCAAAAATGTGGTTCAAAGACCAGCATAAGATTGGAGGAATTATTCTCAATTGGAATTCAGTTAGTCATTCACAGCTCCCTTCCCATGATATCCCATTGGTTTATGCCTGAGTCTTTAAGACCTGTAATTAACAAGTGAGTAAAAGCTCAAACATCTCCATAGGACTTGGGGAGCACAAAGCAGCCATGGTGTTGGTGCCAGCAGCCTCTGCAGCGATGGAAGGCATTGCCAGCTGCTTTGGCAGCAAGATGAAACAATGCCTCAAGGTAGACATCTTCACCCTCCACATTAAGCATTGTCAATCTCAGAGTTTGGCAGGTGCTCACAAATTGCCCAGAAGAAGAGATTAACTGAACCTACAAGAGATATATGGGGAAGGGGTTTAAGTGGTAAGCATGCCACCTGGATGTCAGTAGAAGTCATCCAATGGGCATGTGTTTTGAAAAATCTCAGACTTCTTTGGGAGACATTTGAGACTAAGCTAAAATTACTACTTAACAGAACAGCTTGAGCCAGATGAATGTTTCTTATTAATACTATTGAATCTTTGTTTTTACTTTCTTGATGTTTTTGTTTTTGCTCCCTTAGTGACTAGCCAATGACTACAGCCACGGAATCTTCTCTTTTCTAGTCCCAAGGATGTAACTGCCCAGTTATCTTTGAAGAACTCTCCCCATCAATAATCTAGCTCCTTACTAATTAATGTTTTCAGGGCACTGGAGATACTTTTCTAAGAAATAAGTGTTACCCTAGAGTGTTATTCATTTTAATTAGCATTTAATGCACCTTACTGTAGGTCTAGCATTGCTAACGTAATTCTAACAACTCGTATGTTATTTTTTAAAGTTTTTTCCAATAAAAATAAAACTTTACTAGAGACAATCTGAAGTATTTGAATAAAAAAACTTAGAATGTTTTCAATAGTTTCATCACTGCTAAAAACCTCATTCATATAAAATTCGAGTCTGAGTGACCTCACACTGAAGACTTATATCTAACACATGAGGAAAAACAGGGTGAGGATTTAGAGGTAGAGCGATTTAATGCAGGTCCTAAGCCAGCGCATCATCCTTACTCATAAATTGCTACATTATAATTATGGTCCATATTTTCCATTTAGGTCATCATACACATGTTGGATATGTTTGCTACATAGTTTGAGGACATTTAAGACATACTTTAATAATTTTAATAATTTTGTATATTAAAGTTTTCAGACTGGCAATTTGTCAAGGAAATAGAGTGAATGCAAATATACTTGAAATATGCTCAACAGAGTGGATTATTAAATTATTTTATGACATATGTTAATGTCTGTCCCCTCCACACCCCAATTTAAAAGGAGTATAATGGAGTAGCTTAGAATAAAATTGTTTCTGATATTTTAAAGTCACCTTATATGAGTTATGCAGAAATTAAGTAGCATATTTATTTCAAACATTAGGCCCTTCTAAGAATACAGGAGTGAGGTACTAGACTAACATGTTTCACAAAGCGACATACGGACAATGCCTCAGCAGTTATGGAAGAAAAAGATGATGTGTTCACATAAAGTCTAAAGGTCCTTGTTTCTGGACTTTGTATTATCTTTCAAGCATAAAGTTTTGAAATAAGTGCCTCCTTTAAACTAAAAATAAAGAGAGCTGGATGTGTGAAATTCATATGGCTACAAGAGAGGCTTTGCTGTGTGTGAGTTCTGAATACTTTTCAACATACATGTATCTCACTCTTTCACCTTTCTTTTTGTCTTACACAAAATGTCTGTTTGGAGTACCCCTTTAATTTTATGCGTCGTTTCTAGGGCAGTTCCAAAGCAAATGTTTCTGCTTTACCATTGTCCTCAGAAGTATTTCCGTCCTTAGGAAATGGTGCTTATTTGATTCCTGAGATTTGTTATCTCCCTCAGTGATTGCTAGAGTCATCTAATATAGGTCAGGTATTTCTGTCTCCCCTTAGGCTAACTCAACTCTAGAAGTATGGATTCTTCATACTTTTCTGATCATAGCACTGATTCCTGAACAAAAGCCTTTATTAATATTTATGTCTTATGCAGAGAAACATCTTTTTTTAAAAAAGGATAGGTTGTAGTGAATAATCATTATCCACCTAGGCAATAATTCACATTCCTCACCTCTGAAGTTTGAGTAAAGACAAAGTTTGCCTAGCAGATGCAATGTTAGCCTGGAGGAGTATATTGACTTTAGGCATTCTGTCAGATTCTGTGTAAAACTGAAGCAATCCCTCCTCAAGTAAATCCTATTTAAACACTGAACTGTAATTACATATGACTTACTAATTTAAACTTGAGGTTAATATCGAGAGGATTAGTTTTGTTTGCAGTTCAAAAACGTACAAGCATGCTGTAGGCTGCGTGCTGGATATTTTTCCTAATAGGAAATTGTAGATGTTTTCATCTATGAATTATTCCTGTAAATTTAACATTGTTAGGAAATACATCATTAGTTTGCTAGTTTTGCAAACACCCTAATCAATTGGTAACTATGGTATTATAGATCAAAAAAATGTGTAATTGAATGACAAGGGACATGACTTCTAGACACTGCTCCCTCAATAATTAGCCATCTACCATGGAATAGGTCACTTCCTCTCTTTGGGCTTTGTTTTTCTCATCTGTAAATTGAACATTAAGTTTGGATGCTATTTTTTTTTCTGATCTAAAACTCTTTGACAAATAGGTATCCAGAGCAACTAATTTATTAACAGAAGTTAAATCTTCATCCTCAATGTTACATGCAATCCTACACATATAACCTCTGTGTCTGTATGAATATGAGCGTTGATCTAAGGCATAACCCAAATAATTATGAATACATATATAAGCCAATTCAAACTAGTAAGGAGAAAAAAGATAGTGGGTGACTTGCAAAATGCTAGTTGGATCCATAAAGATAATACACATATAGTCAAAGATTGGCTTCCTCTTCTGCGTTTTAACCACACAACCATTCTGTCAACCAAGCATATTATATTTTGGTGGGAGAAGCATTTATGTGAAACTTTAAAATGGTGATGAGTTCAACTCTACGAATTCATTTTTTTAATTCTAGATCTGCTAAACCATGAAATATGATAGAAAATTTTTATGGCAGCTGCAGAGGAAAGCTAGCATAAGACACAGGGAAGAGCTTAGGATGGCAGAAGTCTTTAGAGGTAAGGAATTTGTGGATTTCTGGAGAAGAAAAGAAGACCTGGGATGAAAGAGTTCACCCTGAATTCCCTAAGGTGAATGGAGGTTAGTGTCTCTGCTGTTTGGACTCTTATCTTTAGAGAAGTCATTTCAAATGTCAATTTAAAATACTAATGGAAAACCGGTGACAAGGAATATAAATGTTAAAATCAAGGGAAAAATATTATTGAGGAAAGTTGATCTTTTTAACAAATACATTTTTCAATAAACTTTATTGTAAAAGTTGAAGACGTGTGTATGTGGAAATGAATTACATCTCAACTGTGACTCATGATGTGGCATCTCGCACATCATGGTGATATATCCAGGTTGCAGGTTTTCTGAAAGTGCATCAGCTGAAATCATGACATAAAAGCAATCTCTAACAAAAGTCACAGTAAGTCTGTCTCTATTTCTAAAATAGTAACTTGTAAAGTTTAAACAGTTTGTCCTTTCCCATAATTCTTTGTGAAGTAATATAAAAAGATTGGCAATCTAAAGAAAAAAGTTAATAAAAATGCATAAGCATTAAATACCTACAGAGAACACATATTCTTAACCCTAAAGCTGTGAGTGAAATTTTAAGGAATCTCTGGGCTGTGTGAAAGAAAATCCAAGTCACACATCATGCTTACCCAAATATTTACATATAATTAAAAGATTGAATAAAAGTGAATGTTGAGTCTAATCTGAAAATATGTATTTTTTTACCTATTACTATGCTTATGTACATTTATATATATAATCCAAATTCTACAGTTACTAATTATATAGAGAAACAAAATATATTTGTCTGATTAATCCCTTTGACCCATGGCTAAAAAAATTGAGAGTTAAAATAGACTTTTGAGCCCATCCTTCCTAATCTCCCTTCTAATTAGGTCGATCTCTTTAAAAATGTGTACATAAGAGTGTGTGTGTGTGTGTGTGTATGCAAATGTATATCCAGAATTTGGCCACTTCTCCTCACCATCTTTCTTTGTACTAACCTAGTCTAAACCATGATCATCTCTCTCTACGACTATTACAGGCTGGGCGTGGTGGCTCACGCCTGTAATCCCAGCACTTTGGGAGGCTGAGGTGGGCGGAACACGAGCTCAGGAGATCGAGACAATCCGGGCTAACATGGTGAAACCCTGTCTCTACTGAAAATATAAAAAATTAGCCGGGCATGGTGGCGGGCGCCTGTAGTCCCAGCTACTCAGGAGGCTGAGGCATGAGAATGGTGTGAACCTGGGAGCTGGAGCTTGCAGTGAGCCGAGATCGTGCCACTGCACTCCAGCCTGGGTGACAGAGTGAGCTTCCATCTCAAAAAACAAAACAAAACAAAACAAAACAAAAAGACTATTACAGTAACTTCCTGCATCTGGTATTATTATTATTCCATGGGCAAAATGCACCTCACAGAGAGATTCTCTTAAGTTATCATTTAGGTCATATGGCTCCTCTTCTCAAATTCTCCAATGGCTTCTCACTTCACTCATAATAATACCCATGAACTTAGACTTTTGCAGTCTTATAATCATCCCTCCAAATGTACTGTGGGCTTCATATAGTTATATTCTCTTTTTCAGTTACACGAGCTACACTGGCATACTGGCTGTTATTTCATCACACAAGGCCTACTTCCGCCCCAGAGACTTTGAACTTAAATTTCAACCTTCCTGAAATATCCTTTCTCCAAATATCCATATCCCTTGTTCCTTCTTTTCTTTTAGGTCTCTGCTCCAGTCTCCTCTTATTCAAAAATTCTGTTCATCCTTTTCAAAAAGACATCCACCTCTCTGTCATACTGATTAATTTTGCTTTGTAATATTGGACTCCACCTACCATATCATTATATACTTTGTATTTATTTATTTATATCAAAAGCAAGTGCCATATCCATTGTTCTGTGCTGATGACTGTTTGTACATTCAGCATTATCAGTAGTGAAGTTAGCTTTGGTTAAGGGGAGCTCAAGCTCTTGAACCAATGTACAGATTTTATCCCTTTTACAATTTAGATTCTTTTTAAGGAATCATCATACAAGTAACAGGAAGTATGAGAAGTAATGATCCCTTCAAGTAAAGATACACTAGTCTACCTGGCTTATTGTTAAGTGCTTCCTGTATAGTGAGTAATGTTTGCTGGGCATTAATATAAAACACAAAAAATACACATATTTTGCTCGCTCCTGTAAATCCATCCATATTCCTATTCTCTGATCTCATTTTGTCAAACCTTCCAAGAACCCTGACCAAACATTGAGTCATTTGTCCCTTCCAAGGCATTTATACATATATTTTTTTTTACCTTAGGTGACTCCTCCCTGTACGTAAGACAAAACAACCAAGCATACCACTTATAACTCAGAATATCCTGAGTAGGGTTGTAGTCCCACAGCAATCCATTTTCAGGTCCGTCAGTGAGCTGGTGTGTCCCAGCCTACCCAAGATCACTGTGACATGGATCTTTTTAAACACTGGCATTTAGAACTTCTGACTCTCACAGCATTCCTTGAATTAACACCTCATTAAACTGAATGTGCACTTTTTTCTTTTTTATAAGTTCTAAAATAAGAGAAGTTAACAAATTAGCAATAGTTAACAAAGTTATCAAAACGGTAAAGTAAGGCAAACACAAAATTGTTCAAAAGCACAATCCAAAGATATCCTTTTACCTGTGCTTTGTTCCAGTCCACTATAGATGAGGGTCTTAATGGTTGTGCCAGGAGTTATCACAATTTCACTCCGTACTGGTAGGGGAATCTTTATTACTTTTTAATCAGTGAGTAAACAGTTCTAGAATCCTCAGGGTCAGCTTTCTAGAGTTACTCCTGTTAATGATTATTCTGTGGTAAGCAGGTCTATGCAAACTTACCCCCAAAGGCCAAACATTCTGAGGCGAAGAAAGAGGGTCAAAAATCCAGTTTCTCAGAAAGAAACATTCAAGAGACTTAGCAACAGAAGTCATGTCTTGTGGTGAGATGAGATGATAGATCCCCAGCCATTATCCCCTGGACCCAGGATTTACATACTATAGAGAAATTGCCTAGGGTAGGGCTTATGGCAAGTGAGTATTTATAATAATATCAAGATTGTTTTGACCTAAGGCAGCATTTGCAGTAAGTTAGTGAAAGTGAAAATCTTAGAAACATTTCCTGAACTGGAGTTAATCATAAGTCAACATAGCAGGTTGGCATCAAAGATAGAGTTGCTTTAGCCTCCACAATAGTCCCTTAGCTTATGTTCTCTGAATGCACAATTTGAAACAAGGTCTTATGTTAAATTAGTTTATTAGATTATTCCAAAAAATAGGAGTTGGGGAAGAGAGAACATGAGATGAGGAAGAAGAAAAAGCCTGTACAAGGGATAATTATTGCGATCCTCACTATGAGAGGGTTGTTTCAGCAGGGATCTTCGGCGAAGCCCACAGAATACCTCCAACAGCTATTTGCTTTCCAATCAGCTCTTATTTGTTTCATTACTGAGGAAGGCCCCTGAATGATCACTTCCCTATCTTTTTGAGGCACTCTTGCCATTTCAAGTGGCCACTGTATAGGAAGAGTCCCAGGGCTAAAAATGAAGTGACGATATACACATGAAGCAATTCCCTGTCACCTTAAAGTAAATTCTGGCCTGAGAAGTGTGTATGGTACCACCCACTTAAGGTTTGAATGGAGTAATAAATAAGACTAAGTTGACGTGAATTAGGCCTCTGATATTTCTGTGACCCTGGGGTTTACAAATCAACTGTTAAGCAATTTGGTCAAAAATTTTGTTAGGTGTTAAAATTAGGCATATAGGTGTAGTCATCAGAATTTAATTACACCCCTTCTTTAAGAAAACATTTCCAGAAAGCACATCCTGTCTCTAAATGTTTTATAATTCATTTTATATAATTGCAATAAGATTTTAATGGAGATAATAGAAAACACAAAGGAGAAGATTTAAACAAAAAATCTTCAAATTGAAGAAAAAGAAGACTTTCAGGTGTTAGCTTGATCGTGAATAGCAATTTCCAGATACTAAATTCCATAGATAGATGCTATGGCTGCAATATGTCCACCCAAAAGCATGCTTTGGAAATTTAATCCTCAATGCAACAGTATTGGGAGGTGGGGCTTGACAAGAGGGCTTTACGTCATGAGAGTTTCACCCTTCTGAATGGATTAATGCTGGTTACAAAAGGGCTGGAGGCCAGGCATGGTGGTTCACACCTGTAATCCCAGAACTTTGGAAGGCCGAGGCAGGCAGATCACCTGAGGTGGGGAGTTCGAGACCAGCCTGACCAATATGGAGAAACTCCGTCTCTACTAAAAAAATACAAAATTAGCCAGATGTGGTGCATGCCTGTAATCCCAGGTACTCAGGAGGCTGAGGCAGGAGAATCGCTTGAACCCAGGAGAGGGAGGTTGAGGTAAGCTGAGATTGCTCCACTGCACACTCCAGCCTGGGCAACAAGAGCAAAACCTCTCTCTTAAAAAAAAAAAAAAACAAAAAGAAAGGGCTTGAACCCCAGTTCAATCTCTTGCTCTTTCCTTGCTTTCTATCATGAGATGACACAGAAAAAGACATTCACCAGGTATCTAATCCTTCTTCTTGGACTTCCCAGCCTCCAGTACCAGAAGCCAATAAATTATGTTCATTATAAATTACCCAGTCTCAGGTATTTTGTTATAGCAGCACGAAATGGACTAAGGCAGTAGAATTTTCTGAAATTGACAAGACTGAATATCAATATATTAGCCCTTGATTTCCATCTCTCCTTTCACAGTTGTATTTCTCCCATTTTTCAGACAAAAGATGTGTTGTTTCAGGTATGAGACTCTCTAAGGAAGAAAACAAAAGCACAGTTAGGGAATGCACTGCCCCTAAAGCTAAGAACCACTGAAGTAAAACATGAGAGATTTAACAAGATATTCGAAGGGAAATGTCACTTTGTTATTGATTTATCTATTTTTCTGTTTTAAAATTAAAATACGGAAGTGAGAACATTTTCATATGGATGCTTATTAACCAGTTTATTTAAATTTAAAAATAAAGTTAGGTTGTTCTCAAAGGAATTATTTCTAATTTGTTTGATGAGTTTCATGATATGGATGGGTATTTCCAACTCAGCTATATAGCAAATACTTTCCAGAAATGAAGTGAAATAAATCTTTATCTTCGAGGTTTAACAGATATTTTTTAATAAAATGTATTTCTCATATAATACATTGGGATACTTATTAGTCAGCATTCTCCAGAGGGAAAGAACCAATAGGATATATGTATATATAAAGAGGAGTTTATTACAGAGAATTGGCTTACGTGATTACAAGGCAAAATACCATGATAGGCCATCTACAAGTTGGGGAAGGAAAGAAGCCAGTAAACAGGCAGTGTAACCTACATTCTACTGTCTGAAGGCCCAAGAGGCCCCGGGAAGCTGCTGCTGCCAGTTCTAGGGTACAAAAGCTGAAGAACCTTGATATGGTTTGGCTTCTTGTTCCCACCCAAATCTCATCTCAAATTGTAATCCCCATGTATCAGAGGAGGGTCCTGGTGGGAGGTGATTGGATCATGGGAATGGTTTCCCCCATGCCATTCTTTTAACAGTGGGTGATTTCTCATGAGATCTGATGGTTTATAAGTGTGCAGCAGTTCCCCCCCTCACTCTCTTTCTCTCCTGCCACCATGTAAGACACGTCTAGCTTCCCCTTCACCTTCCACCATGATTGTAAGTTTTCTGAGGCCACCCCAGCCATGTGGAACTGTGAGTCAGTTAAACCTCTTTTCTCTATAAATTACCCAGTCTCTGGTAGTTCTCTATAGCAGTGTGAAAATGGACTAATAAAAACCTGGTGTCTGATGTCCAAGAGTGGGAGGAGCAGAAGCAAGCACTGGCCACAGAGAAAAAGAAAGATATCCAGAAGAGTCAGCAAGCAAAGTTTTTCCCACCTTCTTCTGCCTGCTTTGTTCTAGCCATGCTGGCAGCCAATTGGATGGTTCCCACCCACTTCGAGGGTGGGTGTTCTTCTCCCAGTCCACCAACTCAAATGTCAATCTTTTCTGGCAACAGCCTCACAAACACACCCAGAAACAATATTTTACCATCCATTCAGGCAACCCTCAATCCAGTCAGGTTGACACCTAATATTAACCATCCCTGTGTATAAGCCTTGAAACTATCCAAAATTATGTTAAAATTGTATATTTTAATATTTAAAAGTGTTAAGGCTAGATCATTCTATAAAGGTAGTAAGAGAATAAAAATGTTCAGTATAATTAAAGTTAGAAGAGGATTGTTGATTTTTGCATTTGCATTTATTAGAATAGTAATAGT
Organism: Homo sapiens; assembly: GCF_000001405.40. Classification (NCBI taxonomy): domain Eukaryota; kingdom Metazoa; phylum Chordata; class Mammalia; order Primates; family Hominidae; genus Homo; species Homo sapiens. The sequence continues at coordinate 80,990,280 of NC_000003.12, read as the reverse complement.
AAATATTTTAGTAATACTGATGGGAGTATCTTCCAAATTACTAGGCATAGGCTGAAATAAAATATATTCAAGTATTAAATACTTAAACAGGTAGTCAATTTATGGTAAAGGGTTGCTTGATTTCTGCAATAACTCAGGAAAAATGGCCATGGACCAAAGCAAACAATTTATTGATTGTAAATGTTACCATTCTTCCATTAGGGAGCAGATGGTTTCAGCTAGGTGTGTATCCTCATCAGTGGCTTTGCTGATGCGTTACACCATTGTTAACAATTTTAATTGAATGCTTAAGTGGCAATTGAAGCCTGGTTTAATTTCTTTGTTTTATTGTATAGTGTCCATAGGAAACCACCACCACAACAAAAACTCTCTTCTTTCACTTTTGCTCTTTTTCCAATACCTTTCATGGTTATGGAACTCTAAAGTTTTCTGGGTGGTATCTTAAATGTCAAATCCAAAACTCTAAAAACCCTAAAATAAAATCCCTGTGTTTGAAAATGAAGTTGCTGAAGCAATATGGTCTATATAATCATTTTAACTTTATTAAGATTTTAATATACAGATCTCTCCTTCTCTCTTGCTAAGATATAAAAAAGGATAAAGTAATAAGAGTTTTAAAGTTATTGATCCAGATTTTAAATGAAAACATGTGTAATTTTTTCTTTTTGTGAAATTATGAAAAAAAAAAACCTTGCCAAATAGCACAGTCCTTGCCACATGGTAAGAGTTATATTAAAGGAAGTCATTCCAAATATTATTGTTTATGTTCCACTAAACATTTCCCTCCATCTCTTTAAAGATTTTAGAAGTACAAAGGAGTATGTAATATGTATTCTGAAAAAAATACGTTTAATAATAATTTATTAGCTCTTTGAGGAATTGCCATACTGCTTTCCGCAATGATTGAACTAATTTATACTCCAACCAACAGTGCATAAGTGTTCCATTTTCTCCACAACCTCGCCAGCAACTGTCATTTTTTGACTTTTTAATAACAGCTATTCTAACTGGTGTGAGGTGTTATCTCATCGTGGTTTTGATTTGCATTTCTCTAATGATCAGTGAGAATGAGCTTTTTTGTCATATGCTTGTTGGCCACATGGATGTGTTCTCTGGAGAAGTGTCTGTTCATGTCCTTTGCCCACTTTTTTATGGGGTTGTTTGTTTTTCACCTATCAACTTGTTTAAATTCCTTATAGATGTTGGATATTAGAACTTTGTCAGTTGCATAGTTTGCAAATATATTCTCCCATTCTGTAGGCAGTCTGTTTACTATGTTAATAGTTTCTTTTGCTGTACAGAAATTCTTAAGTTTAATTAGTTCCTAGTTGTCAATTTTTGCTTTTGTTGTGATTGCTTTTGGTGTTTTGTCATGGAATATTTGCCCATTACTATCTCCAGGATGGTAGTATTGCCAAGCTTGTCTTCTAGGGTTTTTAGAGTTTTGGATTTGACATTTAAGACTTTAATGCATCTTGAGTTGATTTTTTTTTTTTTTGGTGTATGGTATAGGGAAGGGATCTAGGTTTAATCCTCTGCCTATGGCTGGCCAGTTATCCCAGTACCATTTATTGACTAGGAAGTCTTATCTCCATTGCTTATTTTTGTCAGCTTTGTTGAAGATCAGGTAGTCATAAATGTGTGGCCTTATTTCTGGACTCTCTATTCTTTTCCATTCATCCATATGCCTGTTTTTATAACAGTGCAATACTGTTTTGGTTACTGTAGCCTTGAAATATAGTTTGAAGTTGTGTAGCATGGTGCTTTCATCCCTGTTCTTTTTGCTTTGGATTGTCTTGGCTATTCCAGCTCTTTTTTTGGTTCCATATGCATTTTAAAATAGTTTTTTTTTCCTAGTTCTTTGAAGAAAGTTGTTGGTAGTTTAACAGGAATAGCACTGAATCTGTACACTGCTTTGGGTAGAATAGTCATTTTAATAATATTGATTATTTCTATCCATGAGCCTGGAATGTTTTTCCATTTGTTTGTGTCTTCTTTGATTTCTTTGAGCAGTGTTTTGTAATTCTCATGGTAAAGATCTTTCACCTCCCTGGTTAGCTGTATTCCTAGTTATTTTATTCTTACCATGGCAATTGTAAATGCAGTTCATTTGTGATTTGGCTGTTGGTGTATAGAGGTGCTTGTGATCTTTTTACATTAATTTTGTATCCTGCGACTTTGCTGAAGTTCTTTATCAGCTGGAGGAGCATTTGGGCTGAGACTATGGAGTTTCCTAGATAAGGAATCATGTCATCTGCAAACAGAGAGAGTTCGACTTCCTCTGTTCCTGTTTGGATGGCCTTTATTTCTTTCTCTTGCCTGATTGCCCTAACTAGGACTTCCAATACTATGTTGAACAGAAGTGGTGAGAGAGGGCATCCTTGTCTGGTGCAAGTTTTCAAGGGGAAAGCTCCCAACTTTGGCCCATTCAGTATAATGTTGTGGATGTGTCATAGATAACTCTTATTATTTTGAGGTATGTTCCTTCAAAACCTAGTCTGTTGAGAGTTTTTAACATGAAGCAATGTTTACTTTTATCAAAAGACTTTTCTGCATCTATTGAAATAATCATGAGGTTTTTGTCTTTATTTCTGTTTATGTGATGAATTACATTTATTGATTTTCGTATGTTAAACCAACATGACATCCTGGGGTTGAAGCCTACTTGATCATGGTGGATTAGCTTTCTGATGTGTGGCTGAACTCAGTTTGCAAGTATTTTGTTGAGGATTTTTGCACTGATGTTCATCAAAGATATTGACCTGAAGTTTTCTTTTTTATGTGTCTTTGCCAGGTTTTGTTATCAAAATGATGTTGGCCTAATTGAATAAGTTGGGGAGAACTTAAAATGTGGGCCTCCTCCTCACATTTTTGGAATAGTTTCTGTAGGAATGGTACCAGCTTTTTTTTGTGCACCTGGTAGAGTTTTACCGTGAGTCCGTCAGGTCCCAGGCTTTTTCTGGTTGGTAGACTATTTATTACTGATTCAGTTTTGAAGCTCATTAGTTGTCTTTTCAGGGAATCAATTTCTTTCTGGCTCAGTCTTGGAAGTGTGTATGTGTCCGGGAATTTATCCATCTCTTCTAGGTTTTCTAGTTTGTGTGTCAAGGTGTTTGTAGTAGTTTCTGATGGTTGTTTTTATTTCAGTGTGATCAGTAGTAACATTCCCTGCAATCATTTTTCATTGTGTGTATTTGGACCTCCTCTCTTTTCTTCTTTATTAGTCTAGCCAGTGGCCTATCCATTTTATAATTTTTTTCCAAAAAACTATCTCCTGGATTCTTTGATCTTTTAAATGGATTTTCATGTCTTGATTTCCTACCATTCAACTCAGCAATTCCATTCCTTGGTGTATATCCAGAGGAATATAAATTATTCTACTATAAAGGCACATGCACGTGAATGTTCATTGCAGTGTTATTCATGATAGAAAAGACAAGGAATAAACTTAAATGACCATCAATGACAGATTTGATAAAACAATGTGGTGTATATACACCACGGAATACTATGCAGCCATAAAAAGAACAAGATCATGTCTTTTGTGGGAACATGGATGGAGCTGGAAGCTGTTATCCTTAGCAAACTAATGCAGGAACCAAAAACCAAATACCACATGTTCTCACTTAGAAGTGTGAGTTAGACAATAAGAACTTATGAACACAAAGAAGGAAACAACAGACACTGGGGTCTACTTGAGAGGGGATGGTGGGAGGGTAGAGAGGAGCAAGAATGTTAACTATTGGGTACTAGGTTTAATATTGGGGTGATGAAATAATATGTACAGCAAACCCCTGTTATATGTGCTTATCTATGTAACAAACTTTCATATGCACCCCCAAACCTAAAATAAAAATTAAAAAAAAATAACCTATATCCTAGGCTGGGTGCAGTGGCTCACAACTGTAGTCCCAGCACTTTGGGAGGGTGAGGTGGGCAGATCACTTAAGCCCAGGAGTTTGAGACCAGCCTGGACAACATAGTAAAACCCTGTCTCTAAAAAAAATACAAAAATTAGCCAGGGGTGGTAGTGCTTGTCTGTAATCCCAGCTACTCGGAAGGCTGAGGTGGTAGGATTCCTTGAGCCCGGAGGTTGAGTTTGCAATGAGCTGTAATGATGCCACTACACTCCAGTCTGGGTGACAAAGGAAGACCCTGGCTCAAAAAAAAAAAAAAAAAAAGAAAAAGAAAAAAGAAAAAACTATTAAATTAAATTTAAAAATACTGTATATTACAATGAACAATGGTTACCCATGGGGAACACAAGAAATAATTTTATTTAGTAAAAAACTTAATAATTTAATTGTTAAATTTAATTTAGTAAAAAATCACTAAATTAAAATATAATTTATTGATATATATGTAGCATAGTTTACTATGCTATATATGGTAAATATATATATTTTACTATATATATGACATGTGTACCTACATATACATCTCAATAAACTATATTTTAATAAAATCATAATAATTTCCCTAAGGAATGTACCCAGAGATACACATAAATATATATTATCTTACAAAATCAAATACTTATGGAAGAATAATGAAAATAATTAGAAGCACCTGTTGATGGTTATTTTCATGATGATCCAGTCTTTTTTTATTTGTTTTGCAAATATGTGCTGAGCACTCTGAAGTTATTATTTTATTTATTCTACAATGACCTAATGAGGCAAGTTGTGCAATACTATGCACATGTAGAAACTGAGGATAATAAATTAAATCGTTTCCCCATATTTTATAATAAACGAGAGAAACAAAGTTTGAATGCTGCCTATAATGCAACCAAATGCAATTAAATGTAAAAAAATAATAAATCAGGATAAAGGGATGCATTGTGATAGAAGTTGATGGTGAATAGTTGAGGCAGGAATGATATGATGGCTAAATTTATGAATCAACTTGACTGATCATGGAGTGTTCCAGTATTTTGTTAAATAGTATTTCTCAGTATGAATGTGCGATGTTTGTGGATGAGATCAGCATTTGAATCAATAGAGTGAGTAAAGCAGATTGTCCTTGCCAATGCAAGTGGGTGTCATCCAACCCACCAAGAATTTAGAATCAAACTAAAAGGTTGAGGATGAAAGAATTTGCTCTCTCTGACTGCTTAAGCTGGGATGTTTGTCTCCTCCCACCCTTGGACTGAGACTTATGCTATCATCATTCATGGTTCGCAGGAGTAAAGACTCAGTCTGGAACTACACTAAAAGCTCCCCTGGGTGTTCAGTTTGCAGACAGCAAACCATGGTACCTCTAGGCCTCTATAATTGTGCAAACTAATTCCTTAAAATCTCTCTCACTCCCCCCACTCTCTACATATGTATATATCTATATAGAGAGATATATACATACAAGTATATATCTACATATGCATATATAGATATATACATATATATTACACACACACACACACACAGCCACACGCATACTTACACACATGTCTTCTATTGGTTCTGTTTCTTTGAAGAACTCTGATTAATACAGGTAATTGAGGAAGTCTTTCTGATCAAGCCTATGTAAAGGTCCAGAAAGAGAATATATTTAATGCACTGAGGAGCAGTAAGACCAGTGTGGCTGAAGTAGTTTAAGTAGATTAAGGGGAAGGAAGAAAGGTAAAAAGTTGGAGAAGATGAGATCAGATTAGGATATGGCTTAGCTCATGTAGATGTTAATCATTAGATTTTATTCTAAATGCGTTGAAAGGCCAACAGATGGTATTTAGCCATAAATACTAGGCTAAATATCACTTATCTTTTAAAAATATTGCTGTAATGGTTGTGTGGAAATTAATTCTTGAGCGGTAAAAATAGAACGGTTGTGATAAATGACTTACAAGTTAAGATAATGGCTTAGACTAGTGAGACCGTGAAAAGGGGAAAGACTGGGTATATAAATTTGAAAGTATAAATCATAGGTGCAGATGAAGGATTTATAAGGTGTGTGTGGAAAAAAGAAATTAAGAGTAACTTGCAAGATTATTGTAGTAAACCCCCAAAACAAAAGAGATCTCCCCTGAAATTTTGTTTGAATGTCCAGACTGATGATGCCACACACACTAAGAGATTATGAAAAGTTTCCTTTTATATATAAATGGAGGCCCTTGGAGAAAATAAGGCAACCCTCTCAAACAAGTCAAAAATGACTTGCGAAAACAGGAAAAGAGACTGCCTCAGGGTTTTATTGAGGCTAAGTGTGGGACTGGGGTAAAAGTTCCCATTCATGGTATGAATCTCCCACCTGCATCAAAGGAGGCAGCACCAGGTGTTTTGGGGCGCAACGGAAAAACAAAGAGTAGTGTCATAAAACTGTTATCAATCAATCATCAGAAGTGGAGTCAGACTCTTTATTACAAAGTTCTAGATCTGAACAACTTAGCAAATAACTGTGCCATATAAGAGGAAGCAAATTAGAGGGAGGAGCAGTACTGGTCAGGGCTGTGGAGTACAGCATTCTCCTGTGTGCTTGTTATAATTGAGATGTCTATTAGTTTTATTAGCTACTCCTTCTCATTTCTTGCCTCTTTTTCCTTCTCTTTGTCATAATTAAAGGCAGTATTAATTATAATTAAAGGTGTCCTGTAGAATATGTTATATAATTAATGACCTCACGATTCAGTATGGGAACCAAGTAACTTAACAATCACAACATATGTGAAAAATGCTATTGAAATGCCACTTGTATACCAAAGGATCCCAGAAAATTGGCACCTGATGTTACTTGGATAAATAGAAATGTTTTGTGGGGGGAAGTTACATTTAGCTGAATCCTGAAGGAGTCAGAAACCTGGAGAAGATAGAGGCTGGGTGTATTAGGCTGTTTTCACACTGCTACAAAGAACTACCTGAGCCTGGGTAACTTATGAACAGAAGAGGTTTAATTGATTCACAGTTCCACAGGCTTAACAGAAAGCATGATGAGGGGACCTCAGGAAACTTACAATCATGGCAGAAGGTGAAAGGGAAGCAAGGACCTTCTTCACATGGTGGAAGGAAAGAGAGAGAGCAAAGAGGGAAGTGCCACTCATTTTCAAACAACCAGATGTCATGAAAACTCACTCACATTTATGAAAACAGCAAGGGGCAAATCTGCCTCCATGATCTAATCATCTTCTACCATGTCCCTCTCCCAACACTGAGGATTGTAATTCAACATGAGATTTGGATGGGAAAACAGCCAAACCATATTATTCCACCCCTGACTGCTCCCAAATTTCATTTCCTTCTCACATTTCAAAACCAATCACACCTTTCCAACAATCTCCCGAAGTCTTAACTCATCCCAGCATTAACTCAAAAGTCCAAGTCCAAAGTCTCATCTGAGACAAGGCCTATGAGCCTGTAAAGTAAAAAACAAGTTAGTTACTTCCAAGATACAATGGGGGTATAGGCATTGGGTAAATGCTCCCATTCCCAAAGGGAGAAACTGGGAAAACAAAGGGGCTACATACCCCCATGCAAGTCTGAAACACAGCAGGGCAGTCATTAGGTTTCAAAGCTCCAAAATAATTTCCTTTGACTCCATGTCTCACATCTAGGGCACATTGATGCGAGAAGTGGGCACCAAGGCCTTGGGCAGCTTTGGCCCTGTGGCTCTGGAGAGTACAGCTCGTATGGCTGCTCTCAAGGGCTAATGTTGAATACCTGTGGATGACTGTGGCTTTTCCCGGTGTATAGTACAAGCTGTCAGTGGATATAGCATTCTGGGGTCTGGAGGACAGTGGTCCTCTTCTCACAGCTCCAAAAGGCAGTGCCCCACTGGGGACTTTGTGTGGGGCCTCCACTCCCATATTTCCCCTTTGCACTATCCTAGTAGAGGTTCTTCATGAGGGTCTGTCCCTGCAGCAGATTTCTGCCTGGACATTCAGGTGTTTCTGTACATCATCTGAAATCTAGGCAGAAGCTCCAAACCTCAACTCTTGTCTTCTGTACACCTGCAGGCCCCACAGCTTCCCAAGCTTGGAAGCTGCCAAGGCTTAGGGCTTACACCTTCTGAAGCCATGGCATGAACTGTACCTTGGCCCCTTTTAGCCACGGCTGGAGCTCAAGGCTCCACAGAGCAGTGGGGCCCTGGGCCTGACCCTCAAAACCACTTTTCTTGCCCCTAGGCCTCCAGGCCTTTGATGGGAGGGGCTGCTGTGAAGGTCTCTGACATGCCCTGGAGACATTTTCTCCATTGTCTTGGCTATTAAATTTCAGTTTATCTTCACTCATGCAAATTTCTATGGCTGGCTTGAATTTTTCCCCAGAAAATGGGCATGGTCATGCTGCAAATTTTCCAAACTTTTGTGTTCTGCTTTCCTTTTATACATAAGTTCCAATTTCAGACTATCTCTTTGTGAACACATATTACTATATGCTGTTAAGAGCAGCCAGGCCAAATCTTGAACACTTAGCTACTTAGAAGTTTCATCCACCAGATACCTAAATCATCTCTCTCAAGTTCAAAGTTCCAGAGATCCCTAGAGTAGAGACACAATACTGTCAGTCTCTTTGCTAAAGCATAGCAAGAGTAACCTTTGTTTCAGTTCCCAATAAATTCTTTATCTCCCTCTGTTACCACCTCAGCCTAGAACTTATCACTGTCCATATTACTATCAGCATTTTGGTCAAAATCATTCAACAAGTCTCTAAGAAGTTCCAAACTTCTCCACATCTTCCTGACTTCTGAGCCCTCCAAACTGTTTAAACTGCTGCCGTTACCCAGTTCTAAAGTTGCTTTCACATTTTCAGGTATCTTTATAGCAATGCCGCACTCCCAGTACCAATTTTCTGTATTAGTTTGCTTTCACACTGCTATAAAGAACGACCTGAGACTGAGTAATTTATGAAGAAAAGAGGTTTGATTGGCTCACAGTTCCATAGGCTTAACAGGAACCATGACTGAGAGGCCTCAGGAAACTTCCAATCATGGCACAAGGTGAAGGGACAGCAAGGACCTTCTTCACACAGTGGCAGGAGAGAGAGAGAGAGAGAGACAGAGAGAGAGAGAGAGAAAGGGAAAGTGCCACTTATTTCCAAACAACCAGATCTTGTGAGAATTCATTCACTATCATAAGAACAGCAAGGGGCAAATCCACTGTATGATCCAATCACCTCCTACTGGGTCCCTCCCCCAACACTGGGGATGACATTTCACCATGAGATTTGGGTGGGGACACAAAGCCAAACTATATTACTGGGTAAAACATTTATGGGAAGAACAATCAGCATCTGCAAATATGTAGGGGCATTTATGACTTGTTAAATATAAGACTTCGATTCTACTAGTGATAATAAGAAATCCTTAAGTTCTCATACATATAGTTTTCTCTCTGTTTGAAAGAACAAGTTGGTTTTTATTCAGTTGTTGATCTTTTAAATATTTGCCCAATATTAATTTGGAGATCAGTGAGTGAAAGGACAAAATATTTTTAAAATCATAGGGTCCAGGCTAAGGGGAAACTTCTAGCATGTGTTACATATAAAAGTAAAAATAATAACTTCTGGTTAAACCTCAGGATATCTGAGCATACCTGTGCACTCTGCTGCCACACACAATGCTCAGTATTTATAAAAGTCTCTATTATTCTGATAGCTCTGTCCTATTCCATCTTATTTCTGGTCTGATGATATGTGGGAATGCTGTACTATTAATTTAAGCCTCTTTTTTTTCTTGTTATCTGGATAAGGCTAGGGCAATTCAATAAGTTTCAACTAATTTTAAACTCTTTTCATCAAAAGTGGCTCAATAATTTTGGATTGAGGAGCATCTTAGCTTGATGGGAAAGAAGGCTTTGATCAACTAGCGGCACCTGGCACAGTGGAAGGTTGGGGTTGCAGTGTTATTTGAGTTCAATTTGTGTTCAATATTTAGCATAGAATATTTAGAAAGAAATCATCATTTCACTTTGTTATCCTGTTTAAATGCCTCTAGTCGCTTCTCCCCATGTCAGGTTTCCATTCCAATTCTACATCCAATGTTATGAGTTGAGTGTCAAATAATTATAAAAATCTCAAGATTTTAAAACTCCAAGATACCACCACCCAGAGAGTGTTTTGTCCTTAAAATCAAGTCCTATAATTTTAGAAGTAACTTTATATGTTGTCTGAAAAATGGGATTTTAAAATATCTCCATTGTTTTTTGGAGTAGTGACCTTTTCATATGCTCTGCAATCAATAGATAGTGCCTACTACTTTTCTCAAAAGGCTATCTCTGTCTCCTTGGACTTATTTTAAAAGTCAGAGTTGTATGATTTCTGGCTAGATTACTTGCAATTCCTGAAATTTTATTTTACTAGATTCTAGTTTCTATATTTCTTTTCCAGCCTTCACAACTCTATTAATAATTTTTTCTATTAACACCATATAGTAATTAGTTTAGTCCCTGGACCCATATGGATGCATAGTCAGTATTTGTTATTAAAGCAATGAGAGCTAATACTTTGAATAGTGTAGGGGAGTTCAAATTACTATGCAAATCCGACTGCCCAAACAGAATCACACCATTTGGCGTCTGTTGCTAAATAGTTGGTATAATTAGTGTTCATTGCAATGCATCAAATATATTCCTTAGCAATCACTAATAGAAATGGCTCTAATCTGTAGTACAATCTGTTTCTATGGTTACTATGGAACTAACTTCCTTTGGCATCAAAGCAAATGTCAAAAGCACAATCTTACATAATGAGTGCATGGTGCCATTATGTTAGCTTTTATCCTTCACATGGTCTTCATTTCATTTTAAAGTAAAACTTCAAACTAAGTGAATTGACTGGAAGAAAGTACTTATTGGGAAGATAATTGGTTAATCTAAAAATCTCTTTTAAAATATCATCCTTTGTTAATGAAATCTACAAAAATATCATAGCCAAGTAAGAGACCACCATGTTGTTGATTGAATGAAAGAGAAGATGCAATGAGGCAGGACAGATTAAATGCAGATGTAAGAGAAGTAATTCTAAATGAAACAAGAATGTATAGAAAGATGAGATCAAAATCACAGACAGACTCAGAATCTAACTTACTTTACATTTATTATGAAATGTATTTGTGTTACTATTGGATTGAATCATCAGTCTCCTAAAAGCAGATTAAAAACAATTAGTGCCCTTCTATATACCAACATTACTATAAACTAAAAGCTTAATGTATTATTGTTAAAATATGGTAGATATTTAGAATAGTAAGATTACTTATTAGCCTCATGCTAAATTAGGAATTCTATTTCTATTGAGTAATGTTGTCTGGGGGAATAGAACAACTTTTTAGTTTTAACTTAAAAATCTTTTCCTTGAGCACATTTTTGTATTAACTTTTGATTGGCCCCTCAGAACCTTTCCCAAGGTTACATTCTTAGAGTTGCAAATTTGTGAAAATCTCGTTTCAAGAAACATCCAAGGATATATTGGTTTTATGATCTGGTAATAGAATGTCTGGTTTACATGCTCAATTTTAATGAAAATGTGGTGAATGTAAAAAGCCTTTCAAACTGTCACCATGTATGTCAAACACATGCAGTCACTGTTTGTGTATTAAAATTCCTTCTGGCCTGACAGCAGGCCTACACGTTTTATTTTTTTAATTAGTGCATCCACATCTCTCACTCTTTTTCTTTCTATATCAGGGAGGGAAAAACACTCTTCGTTACCATGAGCTCTAAGCAGTGTGGACACAACTAGTTCTTTTGAATTATCCAATTATCAGCAAGATACTTTCATAGATATTTTCTTTGCTCTCATTCAGACTTAGTTGCATGTTCCACAAAGAGGTAATAGGAAGGGCATTATCATCTTTGTCCAGTATAATTCTGGAACCGTGAGGCAGTCAATGGAAGCAGCTGCTGCTTTCCTTATTACTACAAGTGCAGAGAAAATAAAGAGAAGGGTAGTGAGGGAAAGCTTTTAAGGGTCCTATTTTGCAAGTCAGGCACAGAGCATCTGGGCTGAGATTACTTTGCAAGCAATTTGTGAGTTCCAATAGCAACATTAAGGACCAAAAAAAAATCTATATAGTAACCTCAGGAAGAAATTGGTGTGTAAATTTTGCTGTTTTAAGGTTTAAGCAAATGAGGATCATTCAGTATGTTTTGGGAAGATGTTACAATTGGCTATTATTTAGAGACAATTACATGTTTCTCAGTATCAAATCTGTATTACTTGGTGGCTCCTTTAACTCTCAAGAATAAGAAAATGATTGAAATTTTTAAAATAGTCATATTGGCACATTGCAAAAATTGGATCTATTACAGAAAAATGAGTGGATATCTTTTGGTTGCAAACCACAGGAATCAATTCAGCTAGCTTATGCCCTAAGGAGAATTTTTTTAAATCTAATAATTTGATGATTTAAACACTGAAAATCTGAAGATTGTATTCATGTGCTTTTCTTCTTGAGTACTGTTGATGAGCTTCCTAGAAGCTAGATAAGCATTTTACATGAAAATTTTAAGATTAAAAATAATACATATAGACTTCAAAGTGTACAGGAAGTTGTCGAAGTATGCCATGGAAAGTTAGATGAATTAAATTTGGACATATCAAATGAGCATAAGTATAACATGAATTTAAAATAAAGTACAAAACCCAAAGTAAGGCTACTCTAGGGAGTAGGATGAAATGAGTTAGGACTGAGTAATTCTGAAAGCACCTCTTCAGTCAGAGTTCACAAGCCTATAGAATTTAGAGTATACCATAAATTCAGGTACTAAGCCGTGACCAGGTGGGTTTTGGAAACAGGATGCATGCTGCTTTATCAGAACTTTCCTAAACCTATAGAATCACAATACAGTTTAAATTTGTTGTGAAATGTAGCTAATGAGAAGGAAAGTATGCTATGCTGAAGAAGAGAAGGAAGTAAGAAAAGCTAGCATACATGGAGGGGTGACTTCATCAGAGAGGGTATTCTTCTTGCTCTACTGATAAGACGGGAGGATAACAGGCTCCTAAAATCCAGGAAGGAGCACCGAGGGAGGAATGAGCTACCTATCTCAACTGGAGAATGTTCCAAAATAGGTTTTGATTAATACAGCCAACCTGGGTCCTCAAGGCTGTCATCAGGGAAAAGAATTCTAACTCTTGATGCCAAAGCATGAGAGAGGATCTGAGTGAATTGAATTCATACTGATACATCATATATTTTCATTTCTTTTTATATATAAAGGAAGTGTCTTTATTTTTGGTTTATATATTTTTTAGTGTTGCCAATGTAAACCATATGACCAAGTAAACAAACAACAAAACCTTATGAAGTTATTCAGAATTATGAGCACCATACTGCATGACCAAGAGTAAAGCATTTTCTAGAGGAATGTAACTACATCAGGTAACTTGTCATTAAAAAACCCTAATAAATGGGAGCCTGAGGCAGGAGAATGGCGTGAACCCGGGAGGCAGAGCTTGCAGTGAGCTGAGATTGCATCACTGCACTCCAGCCTGGGCGACAGAGCGAGACTCCATCTCAAAAAGAAAAGAGAAAGAAGAAAAAACCCTAATAAAGACAAAAGATCATACTCATTTCAAAATATATTTTATAATAGTTTATAATGGTTAAACATCTTGCCTGTATTTCTATTTTAACACATTACAAAAAAATGCTAGTTAACCAATTTGTTTTTTGTGGCAGTGTCTGCCTTACTATCACCTCGACCTCCCAGGCTCAATCAATCCTCCCACTTCAGCCACCTGAGGATGTGAGACCACAGGCATGTTTCGCCACACCCAGGTAATTTTTAAATATTTTTGTAAAAATGGGATCTCATTTTGTTGCCCAGGCTGGTCTCAACCTTCTGGGCTCCAGCGATCCTCCTGCCTCAGCCTCTCAAAATCTTGGGATTACAGGCATGAGCCACTGTGCCAGGCCCTAGTTAATATTTTTGAGTCAATACTATAAAGCAGGTGCTATATTAAATACTAAAGTCAATCATTTTACTCACTCCTTACAACTCTTTGAGGCCAAGATTATTGAAGCGTGGTTATAATCCATTTTACAAGTGATAAAACTAAGGAGTAGAGGAGTAAGTCACTTGTTAAAGAGTACCATACATCTAGGTTTTTTGTCTATCTATCTATCTATCTATCTATCTATCTATCTATCTATCTATCATCTATCATATCTATCTATCTATCTATCTATCTATCTATCTATCATCTATCTATCTATCTATCTATCTATCATATCTATCTATCTATCTATCTATCTATCTATCTATCTATCTATCTATCTATCTATTCTACTTTCATCTGGTTATAAATCCTTATTATTCTTAAGAAAATAGCCTCTACTGCTACATGCAATGTAGATAAGACATGTAACTCAGGAGTAGATACTCAAAAGATTCCTTCCCTTTAATTACAGTGAATGGTTTAGGAACAGATTTATGAAACAATTAATGACAATGAAACCCCGATGAGATATTTATTAGAATTATTGGAAAAGTAAACCTTTTTCTGTATAGTTGCTAAGGGGATATGATAAATCCATTTGGCCATTGGCAGCCACCTTATCACAATAAGGAAATATCCTGCAGTATTATGGAATTATTAAAGGAGAAAGCACGACTGAGGACTAGAATAATGATTTTGATGAATTGATCTAGACCACCAGGATGCAGTCATACTTAAAACTAGTGTATGTCTAGAGTTTTCAGTTTTATAAGTCCATGATTTTTGCCAAAACCAGTCAAGTTCAATTTGTATATTCTTCAACTTAACAAAAGATGATGCCTAACATGTTCACACAACTAATAAATGGCAAAATTGGGATATAAAGTTAGGTATAGCACCAGAATTTATGCTTTTTTGTGGTGGTGACATCTTTTTTGAGATATAATTTACACACCATAAAATTTACCATTTAAAATATACAATTCAATGGCACTAGTACATTCACAGCGCTGCACAACTATCACCAGACTCTAATTTAGAGCATTTCCATCACTCCTTGAAGAAATCTCCTGCCTCTGAGCAGTCACTCTGCTCCCCTTGCCTTCCCCCATCACTGGACTAACCCTACATAAACACTACTCTGCTTCCCATCTCTATGGATTTTTCTTTTCTGGACTTTTCATATGAGTGTAATCATATATTATGTGATTTGGGGGAATGGGTATTTTCAGTTAATACAATGATTACAAAGTTAATCCAGTACTTCATTCCTTTTTATCAGTACTTCATTCCTTTTTACTGTTGAACAATATCAAACAATATTATTGAACAATATTGCTGAATTTGCTCCTGTTTTTCCAGTCTCTTAGGTGAAGTTTAGATTACTGGTTTAAGATCTTTCCTCTCTGTTCATGTAGGTACTTACAACTATAAATTTTCCTTTTGCATGAATGTACCATTTTTAATTGAATTATCAGCTGAAGATTTGGTCTATTTCCACATTTGGGCCCTTATGATACTCATATGAATATTTGTATACAAATTTTTGTGGATATGAAGTGTTTTATTTCTCTTGGGTATCTAATTTGGAGCTAAATGAAAATACAAAATCTCCACACTAATGAAGCAGCTGAAACAGTGCTCAAGGTAAAATTTATTATTATAAATGCCTATATTAAGAAAGATGAAAGATTTCAAATCAGTAAACTATCTTTAGCCCTAAGAAAAATATGAGTAAGTTAAACCCAAAGCAAGGGAAAAAAACTAAATAATAAAGATTAAAATAAGAATAACTGGAGAGTGAAAAAACAACAGAGGGAATGAATGAAACTCAAAGTTGGTTCTTCTAAAAGATTAACAGATATGGAACGTTTTCATAATTTTATTTTTAGATTATTTCAAGTACACAAATACAATGGCTTTTTTGTACTTTTTTGTATGGTGCAACTCATTTGTAAGGTTTAATAATTTTAATTGGTGTTTAGAACTGTTTATGTAAATTATTGCATCATCTAGGATAGAGATAATGTTACTTCTTTATTTCCATCTAGATGGCTTTATTTATTTATTTTTCCTTGCCTAATTCTCTGGCTAGAACTTCCACTATACTGTTAAATAGAAGTGGTTAGAAAGGGCATCTTGTTTCTGATCACAGGCGAAAGCACTCTTTCATTATGAAGTGTATAGTTATTTGAGGGTTTTTTCTAAATATGTTTTAGTTGGTTGAGAAGGAAATTCATTTTATTTCCAGTTTGTTTTTGTGTTTTGTTTTGTCTTATAAAAGAGTAAGGGATTACAGCAAATGCACTTTCTGTTTCTATTGAGACAACTGTGTTTTATTCACTTATTAATATAATTAATTGAATATTGATAATTAATAGAATAATTGATAACATTGACTTATTTTCATGTGTGAAACCAAACTTGTGTTACTTATATAAATACCACATATGACGCTGTATAATCTTTTGTATGTGTTGCTAAATTTGATTTGCTAGCATTTTGGTAAGGAATTTTGCGTATATATGAGAGAAATAATGAATATATAGTTTTCTTGTGATGTCTTTGCCTGGTTTTGTATCAGTGCAATTCCAGCCTCATGAAATTAGTTAAGTGTTTCCTCCTATTCTATTTCTTGGTAAACTTTGTGAGGGATTGGTATTAATTCTTTACGTGTTTCGTAGCATTTGTCAGTGAAGCTATCTGGGCTTGTGCTTTTCGCTGTGGATACATTTTTTGATTATGAAATAAATCTGCTTGTTATACGCCTATTTAAATTGTCTATTTATTCTTGAGTCAGTTTTGGTAGTTTGTGTTTTCCTAGGAAATTAAACACTTATCTAAGTTATCTAATTTTTTAGTATATAATTGTTCATATTATTTATTTAGTGTTCTTTTTAATACGTAAGTTCAGTAGTGGTATGCTTTTTTTCATTTCTGAGTTTGATAATTTGAGTTTTCTCTCTTTTTTTTCTTGGACTAACTAAAGGTTTGTCAATTATTAATATGCTAATATTTTTGAAGAACTAACTTTTGATTTTAATTTTTGCTGTTGTTTTTCCACTTTCTATTTTATTTACTTTCACTTTAAATTTATTTTTTCCTTTTTTTGCTTGGATTTAATTTGCTCCTATTTTTCCAGTGTCTTAGGTGAAGTTTAGACTACTGATTTAAGATCATTACTCTTTGTTAATGTAGATACTTAGAACTATACATTTTCCTCTGAGAACTGCCCTAGCTGCTTTACATAGATTTGGGGATTTTGTGTTTTAGTTTTATTCTTCTCTAGATAATTTATAATTTACCTTGATCCATTGGTTTATTTACATATTTATTTATTTTAACTTAATTGTATATTTCATTATTTATTATTATATTTTTAAACTTTTATTTTAAGTTCAGGGGTACTATCCAGTTTTGGATTAAACAAGTTTCATGGGGATTTGTTATGTAGGGTATTTCAATACTCAGGTATTAAGCCTAGTACCCATTAGTTATTTTTCCTTATCCTCTCCTTCCTCCCACCCTCCATCCTCTGACAGGCCCCAGTATGTGTTGTTCCCCTCTATGTGTCTGTGTGTTCTCATCATTTAGCTCCCACTTAAAAGTGAAAACATGTGGTATTTGGTTTTCTGTTCCTGGATTAGTTTGCTAAGGATAATGGCCTCCAGCTCCATCCATATCTCTGCAAAGGACATAATCACATTCTCTTTTAGAGACTTTTTTTTTTAAGTGTGTGGTTTAATTTGCATGTATTTGAGAACACTTCAATTGATCTTCTGTTGTTGATTTCTAATTCAATTCCATTGTAGTTAGAAAACGTAATTTGCAATATTTCAATCCCTGTCAATATAGTGAGGGCTGTTTTATATACTAGTGTGTTGTCTATTCTGGTGAATGTTCCATGGCATTGAGAAGGAGTGCTGTAGGAAAATATTTGTTAGGTCTCCTTGATGTTTACTGCCATTAAGTGTTCTATTTCCTTGATGATCTTCTGCCTGTTGGTTCTCTCCATTATTGAAAATGTAGCCTTTTGAGTAAATTGTTTAATCCACTTACACTTAGGGTTAATATTGATGTAGTTGAATTTAATCTGACATTTTACACTTTTTTCCCTAGATTTATCAGGTCTTTTTGTCCCTTTATTTCTCTTTCATGGCTTTCCTTGGATTTAAGTGAATATTTTATAATGTAACATTTTAATACTTTTAATAATTTAAAATGATATTTTTTGGGTTATTTCCTTAATTTTTGATCTAGGGCTTATGTGTATCTAATTTATGAAAATCTGTTTTATATTTAAACTATTTTAATACCCATCAAATAAAGTTTATGTCTATATAGCTCTAACCACTTTTTGTACTATTATTGTTGTTGCTCAAATAATATATGTTACAGGCACAATAAAACATTAATATCATTATTACTTTGTGTAAATATATACATTTTAAAGCAATTTAGAGAAAAAAAAAGCAAGTTTATATTTATATTGTTTGTTATGTTAACCATTTTATTTAACATTGCTGCTTCTGGAACGACACTGCTGGTTTACAAAGGGTGCTGGGGTACATGGTGGCCCCTGGTCTTCTTGCCTTACTCTTTTCTCATACATAAAGCCTTAGTCTTGTAAACAAGTTGAGATGGGATCAATTAGCACTGAATATTCTCTGTCTGCTGCAACTGTGGCAGAGCTTCCACTCTACAAGTTGGGGTGAGGTGAAAGAAAAGAGTTCTTGACCTTTTTTGACTGCATCTGCTGAGAACAGAGCTTCTGTCACATGAGTCTGAACAAGATAAGAAATGCCTTCATCCTGCCACTCGTGGGATAAAACCATAACTCCAGACTTGGAGCATGGTGGACAGGGAGTCCTGTGTTCTTGACCACATAACGTATTCTCCTTCTCCTACTTCTCAACAACCCTCTCCTTTAGCCCTCAGGGAGTACATTTCGTAAAAGCCTTAAGGAATGAAGAACTGATGGGACTTAAAGATGTAAACCTATTAGTCTAGAAGCTTGTTATGGAGCCAAACTCATAGTCAATTCATTAGTTACTTTTTTTTTATAAACATTTAAAAATACTTAATTCTGGTTATCTGACGACAGGAAGATATACCTATTTACACAAGAAAATGGTTACCAATTTTGAGAAATTAAATCAAAATAACATTATGAATAATTTTTGTCAGAATTATAAAAGTTAGTTATGGTTATAAAATCTCTTCTTCATGTGCTCTACCATAAAATGAACCTAAATAGTTTAAGAAAGAGTACTTGATTGAGATGAGATATTTGTTTTAAAGTTAGAATAAGTTTTGCCTCTTTCTTAATGATATCCCAGGAGACCACCTAGAAGATAATTGAATCAATACTTATTTTACTTATTACTAATTCAAAGTTAGGAATATTTCTATAAAACTAAAAGAAATGGGAGTTGGAATGGAGTCAACAAACAGGCCAGCTCCAGGGACATGACTTATATCTCTAATTTATGCTCCAGTGTATGTCTGTTTATGAAAGGATTTAGAAAATATAATAATACCAAGTGTAATAGCAGTTTTGTCTACTGTATCAAAGTCAAATTAGACAGAATAGATTCATTTTAAATCATATACAGAACTACTAGAACATAGTAGCATAAAGATCTTTTATGCTATATTTATTATGTAAATTATAATTTTTTACCTGTATTTAAAATTCCTTTGGACAGTGTCTCACATGTTAAGGCATATGGGATATGATTTGATATATACTAAATCAAGAATGAATTTATTGTAAGTATTATGATTAATGTTTAATTTTGTTTTATTGTATTACTTTTTTGATTTTCCTGCTGCAGTACAGTTACATAAGAATAATAAACATTTCTTTATTGATATATTAATAAATATATTATATAATAAGTATATTTATTAATGTAATAAATAAAAATAATAATAAATAATACAATGTTTATTTAACTTTGTGTATCTGTAGCTTTGGAAACTTTATCACTGATGAGATCTTCATGATCACTTTTGGAAAACGTAGTGAAAATGTCTGCATATATAGACATACTTCAATGACCATTACTATGTTTACATGGTGATATATTTGATGCATCAGAGCCTTTAATTTGCATGCACACATAGTGAATGAGATGCTTTACAGTGTCACCTGCTTTAAAGATTAACTTTGTAATACGATACTAGTAATTTCCCTTCTAGAAATTATTCTAAGAAAATAATCAGAGCCAGGAAAAGACCACAATATGAGGATGTTCATCACAATTTTATTGAAAGAACAAGGAGAGAAAGACAGAGACCTTAAAATTCTGAAAGGAAATGGTTAAATATATTTTGATGGCACCTTACAAAAAGGAACATTTGGGGACTCTTTCAAGATGGCTGAATAGAGATATAGGACATTGAACTCTTCCACAAAGTACAAACAAAATAGCACACTTAAAATAAAACATCTAAGAGGGAATGCTGGAATTCAGCATAGAAGTGACAAGAAACACACAAGGCACCAAAGCAGAGGGAGGCAAGGTAGACAGCCCAGCTGGGATTGGACAGGAGTTTGAGAGGCTCTCTGGTATTGGCAAAGTAAGTGAGAGATCCCAAGTGGTCCATACTTCCACTGCAGATTCCTATAAACCTAGCCATGAAAGAGTCCCTTGACTTCCAAGGGGCCCGAGACTGGTTGGCAGGTTGGCATAGGGAGCTCACTGGAGTCCACTCCATGGCATTGCTCCAGAGCGAGAGGTCAGGCTTGGTCCCATGCATTCCCCAAGTCCTATGCAGCTGCAGCATGGAGCCATATTGAGAACTCAGCCCGCATGAGACTGCATCTTGCCCCAGGGCCCAGCAGCCTCTGCAACTCTACATCCCTGGAGCCCCACTAACATCCCCTGGCATCCACCCAGAAATCCGCATTTTCTGTTTGGCTCCAGCAGAGTGGAAGGGTTCCCAGCACTCAAATCAATACAGTGTCGAATATCTTGGGATAAATATAGAATCAAGCTATCAGTGAAAATGTGTTGTGACGTTTCTTCTCACATGGGAGAATCTATGAAGGGACGTTTGTGAGCCCAGTGTAGCCTATAGTTAAGAACCGAATATCCCAGGATAAAAACTAGAAACAAGCTCTCTGTGAAAAGGCTTTGTCATGTATGCATTCATCTCACAAAATGGCAACTCTGTTTTGTTTCAAGAGTTTGGAAACAATCTTTTTGTAGAATCCATGAAGAGAAATCTCTAAGCCTGTTGATACCGTTAGTGAAAAACAGAATATCTTAATATAAAAACTAAAAACAAGCTGTCGGTGAAACTGCTTTGTGATGTGTGAATTCATCTCACAGAATGGAACTTGCATTTTGATTCACCATTTTGGAAACGCTTTTTTTTTGTAGAATCTATGAAGGGACATTTCAATGCCCATTGAAGCTGATAGTGAAAAATGGAATATCCCACAATAAAAACTAGAAATAATTTATCTGTGAAAATCGAATATCCCAAGATAAGAACTGGAAACAAGCTATCTATGAAAATGCTTTGTGATGTGTGGATTCATCTCACAGAATGAAACCTGTGTTGTGATTCACCAGGTTGGAAACACCCTTTTTGTAGAATCTACAAAGACACATATGTGAGCCTACTGAGGCCCAGAAGATAACACCAAATACCTCGTGGTAAAATCTAGAAACAAGTTATTGGTGAAAATGCTTTGTGATGTGTGGATTCATGTCATAGAATGGAACCTGTGTTTTGATTTACCAGGTTGGAAACACTCATTTTGTAGAATCTACAAAGCAACATTTCTGAACCTGTTGAGGCCAACATTGAAAAACCAAATAACCCACGATAAAAACTAAAAATAAGCAATCTGTGATAATGCTTTGTGATTTGTGGATTCATCTCACAGAGCGAAACCTATGTTTGTTTCACCAGGTTGTAAACACAATGTTTGTAGAATATACGAAAAGACATTTCTGACCCCATTGAAACCTATAGTGAAAATCTGAATATCCTGTGATAAAAACTGGAAACAAGTTATCTGTGAAAATGCTTTGTGATGTGTGGATTCATCTCACAAAATTGAACCCTGGTTTGATTCGCCAGATTAGAAACACTCTTTTGGTAGAATCTACAAAGGGACATTTCTGAGCCCATTGAAGCCCATAGGAAAAATCGAATACACAGCAAAAAAAAATAGAAAAAAGATATCTGTAAAAATGCTTTGTGATGTGTGGATTCATCTCACAAAATGGCAGCTGTGTTTTGATTCCTGAGTCAGAAACTCTCTTTTTGTAGAATCTATGAAGGGACGAATGTTAGCCTTTTGTGATCCTTAAGGAAAAATTAAATAATCTGTTATATAAACTAGAAACAAGCTATTAGTAAAAATGCTTTGTGATGTGTGGATTCATCTCACAGAATGAAACCTGCATTTTGAATCACAACGTTGTAAACACTATTTTTGTAGAATCTACAAAGCGACATTTCTGAGACCATTGAGGAGTTTGGTGAAAAACCAAATGTCCCGTGGTAAAAAGTAGATACAATCTATCCGTGAAAATGCTTTGTGATGTGTGGATTCATCTCACAGAATGGAGCCTGTGGTTTGATTCACCAGGTTTCAAACACTTTTTGTGGAATCTATGAGGACACATACGTGGAGCCTATTGAGGCCTATAAGAAGACACCAAATACCTTATTATATAATATAGAAACAAGTTATTAGTGGAAATGCTTTGTGATGTTTGGATTCATTTCACAGAATGGAACATGTATTTTGATTCACCAAGTTGTAAACACTCTTTTGTAGAATCCATGAAGAGACATTTCTGAGCCCATTGAAGCCTATAGTGAAAACCTGAATATACTGAGATTAAAACTAGAAACAACCTATCTCTGAAAATGCTTGTGATGTGTGGTCATCCCACCAAATGGAACCTGTTTTTCGATTCACCAGGTTGGAAATGCTCTTTTGGTAGAATCTACGAAAAGACTTTTCTGAGCCAACTGAGGCCCATTAAAAAAAAAATTGATTACCCCACGATATAAAACTAGAAATAAGCTATTTTTCAAAATGGTTTCTTATGTGTGAATTCATCTCACGAAATGGAACTCGTGTTTTGCTTCACCAGGTTGGAAAGACTGAGTTTGTAGAATCTATGAAAGGATATTTGTGAGTCTACTGTAACCTATAGTTAAGAACCAAATATCCCAGGATAAAAACTAGAAACAAGCTATCTGTGAAAAGGCTTTGTCATGTATGGCTTCATCTCACAAAATAGAAAGTCTGTTTTGTTTCAAGAATTAGGAACAATCTTTTCGTAGAATCCATAAACAGACATTTCTTTTTTTTTTAATTTTATTATTATTATACTTTAAGTTTTAGGGTACATGTGCACAATGTGCAGGTTAGTTAGATATGTATACATGTGCCATGCTGGTGTGCTGCACCCATTAACTCGTCATTTAGCATTAAGTATATCTCCTAATGCTATCCCTCCCCCCTCCCCCACCCCACAACAGTCCCCAGAGTGTGATGTTCCCCTTCCTGTGTCCATGTGTTCTCATTGTTCAATTCCCACCTATGAGTGAGAATATACGGTGTTTGGCTTTTTGCTCTTGCGATAGTTTACTGAGAGTGATGCTTTCCAGCTTCATCGATGTCCCTACAAAGGACATGAACTCATCATTTTTTATGGCTGCATAGTATTCCATGGTGTATATGTGCCACATTTTCTTAATCCAGTCTATCATTGTTGGACATTTGGGTTGGTTCCAAGTCTTTGCTATTGTGAATAGTGCCACAATAAACATACGTGTGCATGTGTCTTTATAGCAGCATGATTTATAGTCCTTTGGGTATATACCCAGTAATGGGATGGCTGGGTCAAATGGTATTTCTAGTTCTAGATCCCTGAGGAATTGCCACACTGACTTCCACAATGGTTGAACTAGTTTATAGTCCCACCAACAGTGTAAAAGTGTTCCTATTTCTCCACATCCTCTCTGGCACCTGTTGTTTCCTGACTTTTTAATGATTGCCATTCTAACTGGTGTGAGATGGTATCTCATTGTGGTTTTCATTTGCATTTCTCTGATAGCCAGTGATGATGAGCATTTTTTCATGTGATTTTGGCTGCATAAATGTCTTCTTTTGAGAAGTGTCTGTTCATGTCCTTTGCCCACTTTTTGATGGGGTTGTTTGTTTTTTTCTTGTACATTTGTTTGAGTTCATTGTAGATTCTGGATATTAGCCCTTTGTCAGATGAGTAGGTTGTGAAAATTTTCTCCCATTTTGTAGGTTGCCTGTTCACTCTGATGGTAGTTTCTTTTGCTGTGCAGAAGCTCTTTAGTTTAATTAGATCCTATTTGTCAATTTTGGCTTTTGTTGCCATTGCTTTTGGTGTTTTAGGCATGAAGTCCTTGCCCATGCCTATGTCCTGAATGGTAATGCCTAGGTTTTCTTCTAGAGTTTTTATGGTTTTAGGTATAACGTTTAAGTCTTTAATCCATCTTGAATTAATTTTTGTATAAAGTGTAAGGAAGGGATTCAGTTTCAGCTTTCTACATATTGCTAGCCAGTTTTCCCAGCACCATTTATTAAATAGGGAATCGTTCCCCCATTTCTTGTTTTTCTCAGGTTTGTCAAAGATCAGATAGTTGTAGATATGCGGAGTTATTTCTGAGGGCTCTGTTCTGTTCCATTGATCTATATCTCTGTTTTGGTACCAGTACCATGCTGTTTTGGTTACTGTAGCCTTGTAGTATAGTTTGAAGTCAGGTAGGGTGATGCCTCCAGCTTTGTTCTTTTGGCTTAGGATTGACTTGGTGATGCAGGCTCTTTTTTGGTTCCTTATGAACTTTAAAGTAGTTTTTTCCAATTCTGTGAAGAAAGTCATTGGTAGCTTGATGGGTATGGCATTGAATCTATAAATTACCTTGGGCATTATGGCCATTTTCACAGTATTGATTCTTCCTACCCATGAGCATGGAATGTTCTTCCATTTGTTTGTATCCTCTTTTATTTCATTGAGCAGTCGTTTGTAGTTCTCCTTGAAGAGGTCCTTCACATCCCTTGTAAGTTGGATTCCTAGGTATTTTATTCTCTTTGAAGCAATTGTGAATGGGAGTTCATTTCTAAGCCCATTGATGCCGTTAGTGAAAAACAGAATATCTTGATATAAAAAATACAAACAATCTGTCTGTGAAACTGCTTTGTGATGTGTGGATTCATCTCATAGAATGGAACCTGCATTTAATTCATCAAGTTGGAAACACTCTTTTTGTAGAAACTATGAAGGGCCATTTCAATGCCCATTGAAGCCCACAGTGAAAAGCAGAATATCCTGCAATAAAAACTAGAAAAAATTTATCTGTGAAATTCTTGGTGATGTGTGGATTCATCTCACAGAATGGAACCTGTGATTTTATTCACCAGCTTGGAAACATTCTTTTCGTAAAATCTACAAATTGACATTTCTGAGGCCATTGAAGCCCATAGTGAAAAACCGAATATCCCGCTATATAAACTAGAAACAAACCATCTGTGAAAATGCTTTGTGATGTGTGCATTCATCTTACAAAATGAAACTTGTGTTTTGATTCACCAGATTGGAAACACCCTGTTTCCAGAATCAACGAAGGGATATTT
This sequence comes from Homo sapiens, assembly GCF_000001405.40. Lineage (NCBI taxonomy): Eukaryota > Metazoa > Chordata > Mammalia > Primates > Hominidae > Homo > Homo sapiens. Next base: position 80,964,765 of record NC_000003.12, on the reverse strand, counting down.
CTGAGCCAATTTTAGCCTATAGTTTAAAACCGAATATCCCACAATAAAAAGTAGAAATACGCTGTCTGTGAAAAGGTTTTCTTATGTCTGGATTGATCTCACAGAAGGGAACCTCTGTTTTGTTGTCAAGAGTTTGGAAGTAGTCTTTTTATAAAATCCGTGAAGGGATATTTCTGAGCTCATTGAAGCCGACAGTGAAAAGCAGAATATCCCGATATAAAATCTACAAACCAGCTATTTGTGAAAATGCTTTGTGATGTGTGGATTCATCTCACAGAATGAAACCTGCATTTAGATTCACCTCGTTGGAAACACTCCTTTTGTAGGATCTACTAGTGGACATTCCTGATCCCATTGAAGTCGATCATGAAAAATGAAATATCCCATAGTACAAACTAAAAACAAGCTATCTGTGCAAATGCTTTGTGATGTGTGAATTAATCTCACTGAATGCAACCTGTGTTTTGATTCACCATCTTGGAAAGACTCTCTTTGTAGAATCTACGAAGGTACTTTTCAGAGCCCATTGAGGCCCATAAGAAAAACTGAATACCCGGTGATGAAAACCAGAAACAAGCTATCTGCCAAAATGCTTTGTGATGTGTGGATTCATCTCACAGTATGGAATCTGTGTTTGATTCACCAGGTTATAAAGACTCTTTTTGTAGAACCTATGAGGGGACATATGTGAGTGATTTGAGATCCAAAATGAAAACTCGAATATCCTGATATATAATCTAGAAACAAGCTATTAGTGCAAATGCTTTGTGATGTGTGGATTAATCTCACAGAATGGAACCTGTGTTTTGATTCACCAGGTTGGAAACACTTGTTTTGTAGAATCTACAACGTGACATTTCTGATCCCATTTATGCTTACAGTGAAACAGTGAATATCCTGCAATAAAAACTAGATACAAACTATCTGTGAAAATGTTTTGTGATGTGTGGATTTATCTCACAAAATGGAACCTGTGTTTTTATTCACCAGGATGGAATCAGGCTTTTGGTAGAATCTACGAAGTTACATTTTTGAGGCCATTGAAGCCCATAAGGAAAATCAAACATCTCTCGATTAAAACTAGAAGGAAACTATCTGTGAAAATGCTTCGAGTAGGCCAGTCGCGGTGGCTCATGCATGTAATCCCAACACTTTGGGAGGCTTAGGCAGGTGGATCACAAGATCAGGAAATCGAGACCATCCTAGCTAACATGGTGAAACCCCATCTCTACTAAAATACAACAAAAATTAGCCAGGCGTGGTGGCGGGCACCTGTCATCCCAGCTACTCGGGAGGCTGAGGCAGGAGAATGGTGTGAACCTGGGAGGCAGAGCTTGCAGTGAGCAGAGATCGTGCTAATGGACTCCAGCCTGGGTGACAGAGCAAGACTCCATCTCAAAAAAAAAAAAAAAATGCTTTGTGATGTGTGAATTCATCTCACAAAAGGGGACCTATGTTGTTATTCACCAGCTTGGAAACACTCTTTGTAGAATCTACAAATTGACATTTCTGAACCCATTGCAGCCCACAGTGAGAAGCCAAATATCCATCAATATAAATTAGAAACAAGCCATCTGTGAAAATGCTTTGTGATGTGTGGATTCATTTAAAAAAATGGAAATTGTGTCTTGATTCACCAGGTTGGAAACATTCTCTTTGAAAAATCTACAAAGGGACATTTCTGAGCTGGTTGTATCCTACAATGAAAAACCGAATATCCCTTAGCAGAAACTAGAAGCAAAATATCTGTGAAAACGCTTTCTGACATGTGAATTCATCTCACAGAATGGAACCTGTGTTTTGATTTATTAGGTGAGAAACACCCTTTTTATAGAATCTATGAAAAGTCATATGTGAGCCTATTGAGGCCCACAAGGAAAAATCAAATATCTCGTGATGTAATCGAGAAACAAGCTATTGATGAAAATGCTTTTGTGATGTGTGAATTCCTGTCACGGAATGGAACCACGTTTTGTTTCAAGAGTTTGAAAAACTGTTTTTGTAGAATTTATGAAGGGACATTTCTGAGCCTATTGAAGCCGATAGTGAAAAATAGAATATCCAATATAAAATCAACAAACTATCTGTGAAAATGCTTTGTGATGTGTGGATTTATCTCATAGACTGGAACTTGGATTTAGATTCACCAGGTTGGAAACATTCTGTAGAATCTACGAAGGGACATTTTAGAGTCCTTTGAAGTTGAGAGTGAAAAACAGAATATCCCAGAAAAAACTAGAAACAAGCTATCTGTGCAAATGCTTTGTGAGTGTAAATTCATCTCACAGAATGCCACCTGTGTTTTGATTCACCAGCTTGGAAACTCTCTTTTGGTAGAGTATATGAAGGGATGTTTTTGAGACCCTTGAGGCCCATAAGGGAAAATCTAATAAACTGTGATATAGTCTAGAAACAAGGTATTAGTGAAAATGCTTTGTAATGCCTGGATTCATCTCAGAGAATGGAACCTGCAATATGATTCATCAGGAGAGAAACACTCTCTGTAGAATCTACAAAGGGACACGACTGAACTCATTGAAGCCTATGGTGAAAAATTGAATGTTCTGTGATAAAAATAAAAAAAAAGCTACCTGTGAAAATGCTTTGAAATGTGTGGATTCATCTCACAGAATGGAACCTAGACTTTGATTCACCAGATTGTAAATGCTTTCTTTGTAGTATCTATAAACGAACATTTTTGAGCCCATTGAGACCCATAAGGAAATTCTAATATCTCATGATAAAATCTAGATACAAGCTCTCTGTGAAAAAGCTTTGTGATGTGTGGATTCATCTTACAGAATGAAAACTATGTTTGGATTCACCAGGTTGGAAACACACTCTTTGTAGCATCTATGAAAGGACATTTCTGAGTCAATTGAAGCCTATAGTGAAAAACTGCATACCCCTCAATAAAAACTAGAAACATGCTATGTGTGAAAATGCTTTGTGATGTGTGGATTCATCTCACAGAAGGGAACCTGTGTTTTAATTCAACAACTTGAAGACTTTTTTTTGTAGAATATACAAAGAGAGATTTATGAGCCCATTGACGCCTACACTGAAAAACCAAATATCCTGCAACAAAAACTAGAAACAAGCTATCTGTGAAAATGCTTTGAAATGTGTGGATTCATCTCACAGAATGGAACCTGTGTTTTGATTCACCAGGTTGGAAACACTCTTTTGGTAGTATCTCTGAAAGAACATTTCTGATCCCAATGAAGCCCATAAGGAAATTTTAATATCTCATGATAAAAACTAGATACAAGCTATCTTAGAAACAGACATGTGAGCCTATTGAGGCCCATAACGAAAAATCTAATATCTCATGATATAATCTAGGAACAAGCTTTTATGAAAATGCTTTGTAATATGTGGATTCACCTGACAGAATGGAACCTGTTTTTTCATTCACCAGTTTGGAAACACTTTTTGTAGAATCTACAAAGCGACATTTCTGAGACCAATGATGCCTACAGTGAAAAACCAAATATGCTGCGATAAAAAGAAACAAATAATCGTGAAAAGGATTTGTGATTTGTGGATCCATCTCACAGAATGGAAGCTGTGTTTGAATTACCAGGTTGGAAAACCTCCTTTTGTAGAGTCTCCCAGGGGACATTCCTGAGCAAATTGAAGCATACACTGAAATACCAAATATCCCGTGATAACAACTAGAAACAAGTGATCTGTGAAGACCTGTGGTGTGTCGATTTGTCTCACAGAATGGAACCTGTGTTTTGATTCACTAGTGAGGAACACTCTTCTGTAGAATCTCCGAAGGGACATTTCTGAGACCATTGAAACCTATAGTGAAAAACTGCATATCCCATGATAAAAACTAGAAAAAATCTATCTGTGAAAATGCTCTGTGATGTGTGGATTCATCTTACAGAATGGAGCTTGTGTTTTGTTTCAGAGTTTGGAAACACTCTTGGTAGAATTTACTAAGAGATGTTTCTGATTCTGTTGAAGCCGATAATGAAAAACCAAATATCGTGTTATGAAAACTACAAACAAGTTATCTGTGAAAATGCTTTGTAATATGTGGATTCATCTCACAGAATGGAAACTGTGTTTTCATTCACCAGCTTGAAAACACCCTTTTTGTAGAATCTAGGAATTGACATTTTTTAGCCCATTGCAGCCCATAGTGTAAAACTGAATATACCACAATAAAAACTAGAAACAAGCTATCTGTGAAACGTTTTGTGACGTGTGGATTCATCTTCCAAAATGGAACTCGCATTTTGCTTCTCCTGGATAGAAACATTCTGTTTTTGGAATCTATGTAGGGACATTTAGGAGCCAGTTGTACCCTATAGTGAAAAACTGATTATCCCACAACAAAAACTAGAAACAAGCTATCTTTGTAAAGGCTTTGTCTTGTCTGGATGCATCTCACAGAATGTAACCTCTGTTTTGTTTGTTTGTTTGTTTGTTTTTTGAGAATTTGGCAACACTCATTTTGTGGAATCCACTAAGGGACGTTTCTGAGCCCACCGAAGCCAATAGTGAAAAATCAAATATCCCGACATATAAACTACAAATAAGCTCTCTGTGAAAATGCCTTGGGATGTGGGATTCATCTCACAGAATGGAACCTGCATTTTGATTCACCAGGTTGGAAACATTCTTTTTGTAGAATTTATGAAGGGACATTTCAGAGCCCTTTGAAGCCAATGGTATAAAATGGAATATCCATAAAACGGAATATCTGGTGATAAAAATGAGAAATAAGCTATCTGTGAAAATGCATTGAGATGTGTCAATTCATCTCTCAGAATGCAACCTGTGTTTTGATTCACGAGCATGGAATCACTCTTTTAGTAGAATCTACGAAGGGACATTTCTGAGCTTATTGAGGCCCTTATGGAAAAATGGAATATCCCGTGATAAGAACTAATAACAAGCTATCTGTCAAAATGCTTTGAAATGTGTGGATTCATCTCACAGAATGGAACCTGTGTTTTGATTCACCAGGTTGGAAATACCCTTTTTAAAAAATCTACAAAGGGACATATGTTAGCCTATTGAGGCCCATAAGGAAAAATTGAATATCTCTCCATATAATTTAGAAATGAGCTGTTGGTGAAAATGCTATGTGGTGTGTGGATTCATATCACAGAATGAAACCTGTGTTTGGATTCACTAGGTTGAAACACTCTTTTTGTAGAATCTATGAAGTGACATTTCTGAGCCCATCGAGGCTGACAGTAAAAAGCAAATATCCTGCTATAAAAACTAGAAACAAGCAATTTGTGAAAATGCTTTGTGATGGGTGGATTCATTACACAGAATGGAAACTGTGTTTTGATTCACTAGGTTAAAACATCTTTTCATAGAATCTACAAAGTGATATTTCTGAGCCCATTGAGGCTGACAGTAAAAAGCTATAAAAACTAGAAAGAAGCAATCTGTGAAAATGCTTTGTGGTGAGTGGATTTATCTTACAGAATGAACCCTGTGTTTTGATTCACCAGGTGGGAAACATCCTTTTTTTAAGAATCTACGAAGAGACATATGTGAGCCTATTGAGGCCCGTAAGGAAAAATCGAATATTTCATGATATAAGATTAAAAAAATGCTATTGGTGAAAAGACTTCGTCCTGTCTGGATTCATATTACAGAATGGAACCTGTATTTTGTTTCAAGAGTTTGAAGACACTCTTTTTGTAGATTCTACTAAGGGACATTTCTGAGCCCGCTGAAGAAAATAGTGAAAAATCAAATATTCCGATACAAAACTACAAACAAACTGTCTGTGAAAATGCTTTGTTATGTGGGGATTCATCTCACAGACTAAAACCCGTGTTTTGATTCACCAGGTTAAAAATGCACTTTTGGTAGAATTTATTAAGGGACATTTCAGAGTCCTTTGAAGCCGATGGTGTAAAACAGAACTTCCAGTGATACAAAAGAGAAACAAGCTATTTTTGAAAATGCTTTCAGTTGCGTGGATTCATCTTTCAGAATGCAAGCTGTGTTTTGATTCACCAGCTTGGAAACACTCTTTTGGCAGAATCGATGAAGAGACGTTTCTGAGCCATTTGAGGCCCTTAAGGAATAATCAAATATCTTGTGATAAATCTAGAAAGAAGCTATCTTTGAAAATGCTTTGTGACGCATGGATTCATCTCACATAAGGAACCTGCATTTTCATTCACCAGTTTGGAAACCCTCTTTTGGTAGAATCTACAAGGGGACATTTCTGAGGACATTGAGGCCATTAAGAAAAATCGTATACCCTGTGATGAAAACTAGAAACAAGCTATATGTCAAAATGCTTTGTGATATGTGGATTCACCTCACACAATGAAACCTGTATTTTGATTCACCAGGTTAGAAACATTCTTTCTGTAGAATGTACAAAGGGACATTTGTGAGTGTTCTGAGACCTATAAGGAAAAGTCAAATATCATATCATATAATCTAGAAACAAGCTATTAGTGAAAATGCTTTGTGATGTGTGAATTCATCTCATATAATGGAACCTGTGTTTTGATTCACCAGCTGGGAAACACTCTTTTTGTAGAATCTAAGAAGGGACATGACATTTCTGAGCCCAGTGAAGCTTATAGTGAAAACCCAAATATCCCATGATAAAAACTAAAACAAGCTATCTGTGAAATACTTTGTGATGTGTGTATTCATCTCAAAGAATGGAATCTGTGTTTTGATTCACCAGGTTGGAAATAATGCTTTTGGCAGAATCAGCAAAGGGACATGTGTGAGCCTATTGAGGCCCATTGGGGAAAATCAAATATCCAGTGATATAACATAGAAACAAGGTATTAGTGAAAATGCTTTGTGATATGTAGATTCATCTCACAGAATGGAACATGGATTATGATTCACCAGTTGGAAACATTCTTTTTTAGAATCTACAAAGGGATATTTCTGAGCCCACTGAAGCCTGTAGTGTAAAACCAAATATCCCCCATTCAAAACTAGAAACAATCTCTCTGTGAAAATGCTTTGTGATGTTTGGATTCATCTCACTGCATGGAACCTGTGTTTTGATTCACCAGGTTGGAAATAAGCTTTAGGCAGAATCAATGAAGGGACATATGTGAGCCTATTGAGGCCCATAAGGGAAAATCGAATATCCCATGATATAATGTAGAAACAAGGTATTAGTGAAAATGCTTTGTGATCTGTGGATTCATCTCACAAAATGGAACATAAGTTTTGACTCACCAGTTGGAAACACTCTTTTTGTAGAATCTACAAAAGGACATTTCTGAGTTCATTGAAGCCTATTGTAAATAACTGCATAATTCACAATAAAAAGTAGAAAGAAGATATCTGAAATGCTTTGTCATGTGTGGATTCATCTCACACAATGGACCTGTGTTTTGATTCACTAGGTCTGAAACATGCTTTTGGTAGAATCTAGGAAGGGACATATGTGAGCCTATTGAGACTGATGAGTAAAAGTTGAATATCTTGTGATCTAATCTATAAACAAGGTATTAGCCAAAATACTTTGTGATGTGTGGATTCATCTAACAGAATGGAACCTGTGTTTTGATTCCCAGGTTGGAAACACTCTTTTTATAGAATCTATGAAGTGACATAGCTGAGTCCATTGAGTGTTACAGTGAAAAACCTAATATCCAACAATAAAAACTAGAAATAAGCAATCTGTGAAACTGCTTTGAGATGTGGAGATTCATCTCACAGAATGGAACCTGTGTTTTGAATCAACAGGTTGGAAACATTTGTTAGGTAGAATCTATGAAGGGACTTTTCTGAGCCCTTAGAAGTTCATAAGAAAAATGGAATACCTAGCAATAGAAACTAAAAACAAGATATCTGTCAAAATACTTTATTATGTGGGGATTCATCTCACAGAATGGAAGGTGTATTTTGATTTACTAGGTTAGAAACATTGCTTTTTCAGTATCTATGAAGGGACGTAAGTTTGCCTTTTGTGCCTCATAGGGAAAAATAGAATGTCCCATTATATAACCTAGAAACAAGCTATTAGTGAAAATTTTTTGTGATGTGTGGATTCATCTCACAGAATAGAACCTGTGTTTTGATTTGCCAGGTTGGAAACACTATTTTTATAGTATTTACTAAGCCACCTTCCTGACCCCATTGAGGAGAACAGTGAAAAACCAAACATCCTGCGATAAAAACTAGATACAAGCAATCTGAGAAAACGCTTTGTAATGTGTGGATTCATTTCACAGAATGGAACCTCTGTTTTGTTTCTAGAGTTTGGAAACACTTTTTTTGAAGAATCCATGAAGGGACACTTCCGAGCCTGTGAAGCTGTTAGTGAAAAACAGAATATTCTTATATAAAAACTACAAACAGTTATCTGTGAAAATGCTCTGGAATATTTGGACTCATCTCACAGAATGGAACCAGGGTTTTCATTCACCAGGTCAGAAACTCCTTTTGTAGAATCTACGAAGGGACATTTCAATGCCCATTGAAGCCGATAGTGAAAAACTAAATACCCCGCGATGAAAACTAGAAAAAAGCTATCTGTGCAAATGCTTTGTGATGTGTGGATTCATCTTACAGAATGCAACCTGTGTCTTGATTTACCAGTTTTGAAACACACTTTTGGTAGCATCTATGAAGGGACATTTCTGAGCCCTTTGAGTCACATAAGGAAAAAATTTGAATATCTTGCGATAAATATAGAATCAAGCTATCGGTGAAAATGTGTTGTGATGTGTGAATTCTTCTCACACAATTCAGCCTGTGTTTTGATTCACCAGCTTGGAAACATTCTATTTGTAGAATCTAGGAAGAAACTTTTGTAAGCCCATGGAGGCCCATAAGAAAAATCGAATACCCTGTGTTGAAAGCTGGAAACAAGGTATCTGTCAAAATGCTGTATGATGTCTGGATTCATCTCACAGAATAGAACCTGTGTTTTGATTTACCAGATTATGAACTATCTTTCTTAGAATCTACGAAGACATAAATGGGAGCAACTTCAGGTGTATAAGGAAAATCGAATATCCCGTTATATAATCTAGAACAAGCTATTAGTGAAAACATTTTGTGATATGTGGATTCATCTCACAGAACAGAATCTGTGTTTGGATTCACCAGGTTGGAAATACTTGTTTTGCAGAATTTGCGATGCAACATATCTGAGCCCATTGAAGCCTACTGTGAAAAACCAAATATCCCACGATAAAAACTATGTACAAGCTATCTGTGGAAATACTTTATGATGTGTGGATTCATCTCACAGAATGGAGCCTGTGTTTTGATTCACCAGCTTGGAAACACCCTTTTTGTAGTATCTACAAAGGAACATTTCTGAGCCAATTGAATCCTATATTGAGAAACAGAATATTCCTCAATAAAGACTTGAAACAAGCTATCTGTGAAAAGACTTTGGATGTGTGGATTCATCTCATGGAATGGAAGCTGTGATTTAATTCACCAGGTTGGAAACCCTCTTTTGGTAGAATTTTTGAAGGGAGATTTCTGTGTCCATTGAGGCCCATGAGGAAAATTGAATATCCCATAATAAAAACTAGTTAGAAGCTATCTGTGAAAATGCTTTGTGATGTGCGGATTCATCTTACAGAATGGATCTTGTGTTTTGATTCACCAGTTTCAAAACTCTCTATTCATAGAATATACAAAGGGACATATGTGAGCTTTAGAGGCCCATAAGGAAAAATCAAATATCCCATGATATAAATCTAGAAACAAGCTATTAATGAAAATGCTTTCTGATGTGTGGATTCACCTTACAGAATGTATCTTGTGTTTTGATTGATCAGAATTTAAACACTCTCTTTGTAGAGTCTATAAAGGGACATATCACAACCCATTAAAGCCTATAGTGAAAAACCGAATATCCTGCAATAAAAAACAGAAATGAGCTACCTGTAAAAATGCTTTGTGATGTTTCGATTATCTCACAGAATGGAACCTGTGTTTTAATTCACCAGGTTGGAAAAACCCTTTTTGTAGAATCTGTGAAGGGACATATGTGAGATTGTTGAGGCCCATAAAAATAAGTCAAATATCATGTGACATAATCTAGCAACAAGTCATTTCTGAAAAGGCTTTGTGATATGTGGATTCATCTCCAAAATGGAACCTGTGTTTTGATTTACCAGGTTGGAAACACTTTCTTTGTAGAATATAGGAATGGATATTTCTGACCTCTATGAAACCTACAGTGAAAAACGGAATATCCCACCATAAAAACTACAAACAATCTTTCTGTTAAAATGCTTTATGTAGTGTGGATTCATCTCACAGAATGGAACCTGAATTTTGATTCACCAGGTTGGAAACACTCTTCAGGTAGATACTACAAAGGGACTTTTCTGAGCCATGTAGGCACATAAGAAAAATTTAATACCCTATGATAAAAACTGGAAACAAGCTATCTGTCAAAATGCTTTGTGATGTATGGATTCAACTCACAGAATGGAACCTGTTATTTCATTCACCTAGTTAGAAACACTCTTTTTATAGAACCTACATAGGGACATATATTAGCCTTTTGTGGCTCATAAGGAAAAATCAACTATTCCATTATATAATCTAAGAACAAGCTATTAGTGAAAATGCTTTGTGATGTGTGGTTTCATCTCACACAATGAAATCTGTGTTTTGAATCAACACATTGGAAACACTCCTTGTGATGAATACATGAAGGGAGATATGTGAGGATATAAGGCCCATAAGGAATGATGGAATATCTCACAATATAATCTGGAAACAAGCTATTAGTGAAAATACTTTGTGATATGTAGATTCATCCCACAGAATGGAAGCTGTATTTTGATTCACCAGCATGGAAACACTCTTTTTGTAGAATCTACAAAGAGACATTTATGAGGCCATTGAAGCTTATAGTGAAAAATTGAATATCCCACAATACAAACTAGAAACAAGCTATCTGTGAAAATGCTTTCAGATGTGTCTATTCATCAGACAGAATGAAACCTGTGTTTTGATTCACCAGGTTGGAAACACTCTTTTGATATAATCTATGAAGGGACTTTACTGAGCCCACCGAGGCCCATAAGAAAAACCAAATACCCTGCAATAAAAACCAGAAACAAGCTACCTGTCAAAATGCTTTGTGATGTGTGAATTCATCTCAGAGAATGGAACCTGTGTTTTGATTCTCCAGGTTGGAATCGGGCTTTTGGTAGAATCTATGAAGGAAATTTCTGAGGCCATTGAGGCCCATAAAGAAAATTGAATATCCCACGGTAAAAACTAGAAACAAGGCCAGGCGCCTGTGGCTCACACCTATAATCTCAGCACTTTGGAAGGCCAAGGCAGGTGGATCATGATCAGGAGATCGAGACCATTCTGGCTAACACAGTGAAACCCCGTCTCTACTAAAAATACGTACACACACACAAAATAAGCCATGTGTGGTGGTGGGCGCCTGTAGTCCCAGCTACTTGGGAGGCTGAGGCAGGAGAATGGCATGAACCCAGGAGGTGGAGCTTGTGGTGAGCCGAGATGGAGCCAGTGCACTCCAGGCTGGGCGACAGAGCAAGATCCGTCTCAAAACAAACAAACAAACACTAGAAACAAGTTATCTGTGAAAATCCTCTGTGATGTGTGGATTAATCTCACAGAATGGAACCTGTGTTTTGACTCTCCAGCATGGAAACATTCTTTTTGTAGTACCTACATATTGACATTTCTGAGACCTTTCAAGCTCATAGTGAAAAAAAGAATATCTGAGATATAAACTATTAATAAGTTTCTTTGAAAATGTTTTGTGATGTGTGGATTCATCTCATGAAATGGAACTTCTGCTTCCTGTCACCAGGTTAGAAAGAGTGTGTTTCCAGAATCTACGAAAGGACATTTCTGAACATATCTTAGCCTACAGTGAAAAACTGAATATCCTGCGATAAAAATTAGAAACAAGCTATCACTGAAAATGTTTAGCCATGTCTGGATTCATCTCAGAGAATGGAACTTGTGTTTTGTTTCAAGAGTTTGGAAACACTCTTTTTGTAGAATCCATAAAGGGACATTTCCGAGCCTGTTGAAGCCAATAGAGAAAAACAGAATATCTTGATATAAAAACTACAAACAAGCAATCTGTGAAAATGCTTTGTGGTGTGTGGATTCATTTCACAGAATTGAAAATGTGTTTAGATTCACCATGTTGGAAACACTCATTTAATAGAATCTATGAAGGGACATTTCAGAGCCCATTGAAGCCAATAGTGAAAAACAGAATATCCCATGCTAGAAACTAGAAAACAAGCAATCACTGAAAATGCTTTCTAATGTGTGGATTCATCTCACATAATGGAACCTCTGTTTTGATTCACCGGGTTGGAAACACTCTGTAGAATCTACAAAGGAACATTTCTGAGCCCATTGTAGACTGTAGAGAAAACCCAAATACCCCGCGATAAAAACTACCAAAAAGCTATCTGTGAAACTGCTTTAAGATGTGTTGATTTATCCCACAGAATGGAACCAGCGTTTTGATTCACCAGGATGGACACAAAACACTCTTTGTAGGATCCATGAAGAGATATTATAGAGCCCATTGAAGCCGATAGTGAAAAACAGAATATCCAGTGACTAAAAACTAGAAACAAGCTATTGGTGCAAATGTTTTGTGATTTGTAGAGTCATCTCAAAAAATGCAACCTGTGTTTTGGTTCATGGACCTGGAAACACTCCTTTGTAGAATCTATGAAGGGACATTTCTGAGCCCTTTGAGAACCATAACAAAATTGAATATCCCACTATAAAAACTGGAAAAAAGCTGTCTGTGAAAATGCTTTGTGATGTGTTGATACATTTCACAGATTAGAACCTCTGGTTTTATTCACAAGCCTGGAGACACTCCTTTTTGTAGAATCTACAGAGGAATATTTCTGAGCCCATTGTAGCCTATAATGAAAACAAAATATCTTGTGATAAAGCTAGAAACAGGCTATGTGTGAAAAGGCTTTGTTATGCCTGGATTCACCTCATAGAACGGAACTTCTATTTTCTTTCAAGAGTTTGGAAACAGTCTCTGTAGAGCCCATGCAGGGAAACTTCTGAGCCTGTTGAAGCCGATAGTGAAAAACAGAATATCTCAATATAAAATCTACAAACAAGCTGTCTATGAAAATGCTTTGTGATGTGTGGATTTATCTTACAAAATGGGATCTGCATTTTGATTCACCAGGTTGGAAACACTCTTTTTGTAGTGTCTATGAAGGGACATTTCAGAGACCACTGAAGCCAATAGTGAAAAATAGAATATCCCATGATAAAAATTAGAAACAAACTAACTGTGAACATGCTTTTTGATGTTTGAGTTCATCTCACAGAATGCAAACTGTGTTTTGATTCAGCAGTTTGGAAATACTCTTTTGGTAGAATCTATGAAGGGACACTTCTGAGTTCTTTGAGGCTCACAAGGAAAAATCAAATATCCCAAGATAAAAACTGGAAACAAGCTATCTGTGAAAATGCTTTGTGATGTGTGGACTTAGCTGACAAAATAGAACCTGTGTTTTGAGTTGATTTGGAAACACTGTTTGTGTGGTATCTACGAAGAGACATTTCTGAGCCCATTGAGGCCAACAGTGAAAAAACGAATATCCCGCGATAAAAACTAGAAACAGACAAACTCTGGAAATGCTTTGCAATGCATGGATTCATCTAACAGAATGGAACCTGTGCTTTGTTTCACCAGGTTGGAAACACTCTTTTTGTAGAATCTATGTTGGGAAATTTCTGAGCTTATTGAGGCCCTTACTGAAAAATTGAATATCTGTGATAAATACTATAAACAAACTATCTATGAAAATGCTTCATTAGGTGTGGATTCATCTCATAGAACAGAACCTGTGTTTTATTTACCAGCTTGGAAAACCTCTCTTTGTAGAATCTATGATGGGACCTTCCTTAGCCCATTGAAGCCTATATTGAAATACAGAATATCCTGGGATAAAAACTAGAAAAAAAAAAAAGCTAACTGTGAAAATGCTTTGGTATGTGTGGATTCGTCTCTCAGAATGAAAACTGTGTTTTGAAACACTCTTTTTGTACAATCTATGAAGGGACATTTCTGAGCCCATTGAAGCCTACAGTGTAAAAATGCATATCCCGTGATAAAAACTAGAAAAAACTTATTTGTGAAAATGTTTTCTGATGTGTGGATTCATCTCACAGAATGGAACCTCTATTTTGATTTACCAGGATGGAAACACTATCTTTGTAGAATCTACAAAGCGACATATCAGAATCCATTGAAACCTATAGTGAAAAACTGAATATCCCACGATAAAAAAATGAGAAACAAGCTATCTGTGAAAATGATTTTTGATGCGTGGTTTCATCCCACAGAGTGGAAGCTATGTTTGGATTCACCAGGTTAGAAACACTCTTTTTGTAGAATCTACGGAGAGACATATTTGACTGTTTTGAAGCCCATAAGACAAAACCGAATATCCCGAGATGAAAACTAGAAACAAGCTATCTGTGAAGATGCTCTGTTATGTGTTGATTCATCTCACAGAATGAAACCTGTGTTTTGATTCACCAGGCGGGAAACACTATTTAGTATAATCTCCAAAGGGACATTTCTGAGTCCATTGAAGATCATAAGGAAAATGGAATATCCTGCAATAAAAACTATATACAAATTATCTGTGAAAATGCCTTGTGATGTGTCGATTCATCTCACAGAATGGAACCTGTGTTTTGATTCACCGGGATGGAAACACTCTTTTTGTTGAATATATGAAGGGACATTCCTGAGCCTATTGACGCCCATAAGGAGATAGAATATCCAGCGATAGAAACTGGAATCAAGCTATCTATGAAAATGCTTCATGATATGTCGATATATCTCACAGAATGTAACCTGCATTTTGATTTAACAGGTTGAAAAACCACTTTTTTGTAGAATCTGTGATGGGACATTTCTGAGCCCATTTAGGCCTACAGTGAAAAACAGAATATCCCCTGATAAAAACTAGAAACAAGCAATCTTTGAAAATGCTTTGTGATGAGTGGATTCATCTCACAGAATGGAATCTGTGTTTCAATTCACCAGGTTGGAAACACTCTATTTGTGGAATACATGAAGGGACATACATGAGCCTACTGAGGCTTGTAAGAAAAAATCAAATATCCCTTGATATAACCTAGGAACAAGCTATTAGTGAAAATGCTTTGTGATGCATGGATTCATCTCACAGATTGGAACCTGTTTTTTTATTCACAAGCTTGGAAACACTCTATTTGCAGAATCTACAAAGGGACATATCTGAGTCCGTTGAAGGCTACAGGGAAAAATCGAATATCCCACTATAAAAACAAGAAACAAGCTATATGTGAAAATGCTATGTGATGTGTGGATGCATCTCACAGAATGGAACCTGTGTTTTGATTCACCACATTGGAAATACTTTTCTTGTAGAATCTACGAAGAGATATTTCTGAGCCCATTGAAGTCCATAAGGAAAATCGAGTATCTCATGATAAAAACTAGAAAGAAGCTGTTGGTGAAAATGCTTTGTGATGTATGAATTCATCTCACAGAATGGAACCTGTGTTTTGATTTACCAGTTTGGAAACACTCTGTTTGTAGAATCTCCTATATGACATCTTAGAGCTCAATGAAGCCTGTAGTGAAAATCCGAATATCCCATGATAAAAAGTGGAAACAAGTTATTTGTGGAAATGCTTTCAGATGTGTAGATTTATATACAAAATGGAACCTGTGTTTTGAATCATGAAGTTGGAAACACTATTTTTAAAATATCTATGAAAAGACATTTCCGAGCCCATTGAATCCTGTAGTGAAAAACGGATTACCCCTCCATAAAAACTAGAATCAAGCTATCAGTGAGTATGCTTTCCGATGTCTGGATTCATCTCGCAGGATGGAACCTGTGTTTTGATACACCTCATTAGAAACACTCTTTTTGTAGAATCTACAAAAGATATTTCTGAGCCCATTGAAGCCTATAGTGAAAAACAGAATATCCCACGATAAAAACTAGGAATAATGTATCTGTGGAAATGGTATTTTATGTGTGGATTCGCCTCACAGAAGGGAACCTGTGTTTTGATTTGCTAGGTTAGAAACACTCCCTTTGTAGAATCTTGGAAGGGATATTTCTGAGCCTATTGAAGCCCATAGTATAAAACCGAATATCACATGATCTGAACTATAAACAAGCTATTTGTGAAAATGCTCTGTGATATGTGGATTCATCTCAGAGAATGGAACCTGTGGTTTGATTTTTCAGGTTGGAAATACTCTTTTTGTAGAATCTACTACAGTACATTTCAGAACTTATTGAAGACTTTATTGAAAAACCGAATATCTTGCGATAAAAACTAGAAACCAGCTATCTTTGAAAATGTTCTGTGATGTGTGGGTTCATCTAACAGAAAGGAACCTGTGTTTTGATTCATCAGGTTGAAAACACTCTTTTTGTAAAATTTAGAAGGGACATTTCTGAGCTCGTTGTAGCTGGTAGTGAAAAACCTAATATCCCGCAACCAACACTAGAAACAAGCTATCTGTGAAAATATTTTGTGATGTGTGGATTCATTTCACTGAAGGGAACTAGTGTTTTGATTCATGAGGTTGGAAACATGCTTTTGTTAGAGTCTATGAAGGGACATTTCTGAGCCTGTTGAAGCCCATAGGGAAAGTCAAACATCCATGATATAAACTAAACACAAGCTATCTCTGAAAATGCTTTGTGATGTATGGATTCATCTCACAGAATGGAACCTGTGTTTTGATTCACAAGCTTGGAAACACTCTTTTTGTTAAACCTAAGAACTGACGTTTCTGAGCCCATTGAAGCCCATAGGGAAAAACCAAATACATCGCGATGTAAACTAAAACAAGCTATCTGTGAAAATGCTTTGTGATGTGTGGATTCATCTCGCAGATTGGAACCTGTGTTTTGATTCACCAGTTTGGAAACACAATTTTGGTATAATCTACAAAGAGACATTTCTAAACCCATTAAGGGCCATAAGGAAAAATAGAATATCCCACGATTAAAACTAGAAACAAGATATTTGTGAAAATGTTTGGGATCTGTGGATTTACCTACAGAATGGAACATGTGTTTTTATTCACCAGATTAGAAACACTCTTTTAGTAGAATCCACAAAGAGACATATGTGAGCCGAATGAGGTTCATAAGGAAAAATTGAATATCCCACTATAAAAACTAGGAACAAGCTATCTGTGAAAATGCTTTATGATGTATGGATTCATCTCACAGAATAGAACCTGTGTTTTGATTTACCAGGTTAAAAACACTGTGTTTGTAGACTCTACTACAGGACATTTCAGAGCCCATTGAAGCCCGTAAGGAAAATCTGAATATTCTATGATAAAAAGCAGAAATAAGCTATTTGTGAAAATACTTTGTGATGTGTGGATTCATACACAAAATGGAACCTGTGTTTTGAATCATGAGGTTGGAAACACTCTTTTTGAAATATCTACAAAGGGACATTTCTGAGCCCATTGAATCCTGTAGTGAAAAATGGGATAACCCGTTATATAAAATAGAAACGAGCTGTCAGTGAATATGCTTTGTGATGTGTGGATTCATCTCACAGAATGGATCCTGTGTTTTGATTCATCAGGTTGGAAACACTCTTTTTGTAGAATCTACAAATGACATTTCTGAGCCCACTGAAGCCTATAGTGAAAAACAGAGAATTCCGGGATAAAAACTAGAAAGAAAGTAACTGTGAAAATGGTTTCTTATGTGTGGATTTATCTCACAGAAGGGAACCTCTGTTTTGATGCACTAGGTTGGAAACACTCTATTTTTCGAATTTTGGAAGGGGTATTTCTGAGCCCACTGAAGCCCATAGTATAAAACTTAATATCATGCGACATAAACTAGAAACAAGCTATCTGTGAAAATTCTTTGTGATGTATAAATTCATCTCACAGAATGGAGCTTGTGTTTTGATTTACCAGGTTGGAAATACTCTTTTTATAGAATTTAGAAGGGATATTTATGAACCTATGTAGCCTATAGTGAAAAACATGATATCCCTTGACAAAAACTAGAAACAATATACTTTCATGTTAAAGCTCACAACAAACTAGGCATAGATGAAACATATCTCAATATAATACAGGCCATATATGAAAAATCCACATTTTACATTATACTGATGAAGAAAAGTTGGAAGTTTTCCTTCTAAGAACTGAAACTAGACGAAGATGCTCACTTTCACCACTCTTATTCAGCAATGTATTTAAAGCCCTAGCCAGAGCAATCAGGCAAGAGAAAGAAATGAAAGCTATCCAAATTGGAAAAGGGAAAGTCTAATGGTCCCTCTTTGCAGATGACATGATCTTTTATTTATTTAAAAAATGTAAAACCACCCAAGAACTCTTAAATCTGATAAGCAAGTTCGGTAAACTTGCAGGATACAAAATCAACATACAAAAATTAGTAATGTTCCTGTACACTAATAACAAACTAGCTAAAAAATCAAGTAAGCAATCTCATTTACAATAGGTACAAAATTTAAAAAAAAACTAGAAATGAATTTAACCTAGAAGGTGTAACATCTGTTCAAATAAAGCTCCAAATCATTTATGAAAGAAATTGCTGAGAAAACAAACAAATGGAAATACAGCCCATGCTCTTGGATTGGGAAAATTAATATTGTTAAAATGACCATACTACTCCCAAAGCAATGTACAGTTTCAATGCAATGTCTATGAAAATACCAATGACATTTTTCACAGATGTAGAAAATTCTGAAAATTTCAAATTCTGAAATTTCTCTGGAACCAGAAAAGAAAAGCATGAATAGCTCAAGCAAACCTGAGCAAAAGAACAAAGCTAGAGGTGTCACACTACCTGACTTTAAAATAGAGCATAAAGCTATAGTAACTAAAACAACATGTCACTGCTTTATAAAGAGACACATAGGTCAGTTGCAGTGACTCATGTCTACAATCCCAGCACTTTGGAAGGCTGAGGCAGGTGGACCACCTGAGGTCAGGAGTTTGAGACCAGCCTGGCCAACATGATGAGATCCCATCTCTACTAAATACAAAAAATTAGACGGATGTGGTGTTGGGCACCTGTAATCCCAGCTACTCAGGAGGCTGAGGCAGGATAATTGCTTGAACCCAGGAGGCAGAAGTTGCAATGAGGCAAGATCATGCTATTGCACTCGAGCCCGGGTGACAGAGTGAGACTCCGTCAAAAAAAAAAAAAAAAAAAGATACATAAACCAATGGAACAGAATAGAGAACCCAGAAACCCAGAAATAAATCCACATATTTACAGCCAAGAACATACATTAGGGAATAGACATCCTCTTTGATAAGTGGTCCTTGCAAAACTGGATACCCATACGCAGAACAATAAAATAGAACCCCTATCTCTCACCATATAGAAGAATCAACTCAAAATTCATTTATAGAGTTGAACATTAGATCTAAAACTATAAAACTGCTATAAGAAAACATAAGAGGAAACACTTCAGCTCATTGGTCTAGGCAAAGATCTTATGGCTAAGACCCCAAAAGCACAGGCAGCAACAAAAATAGAAAAGTGGCACTATATTAAACTAATAAACTCATGCACAGCAAAGGAAACAATCAACAGAGTGAAGAGATAACATGTTGAATGGGAGAAAATATTTGCGAAATGCTTCTCTGGCAAGAGACTATCATCTGGAATATACAAATAATTCAGACAACACAGCAGCAAAACACACACACACAACAACAGCAGCAACAACAACAACACAAATCATGCTATTAAAAAGTGAGCAAAGAATCTATGTAGACAGTTTTCAAAGGAAGACATACGAATTACCACAGGTTTGTACAAAAATGTTCAACGTCGTTAATCATCAGAGAAGTAAAAATAAAAACCACAATGGCATATCATCTTACTCCAGTTAAAATGGCTATTATCAATAAGACAAAAGTAACAAAAACAGGTGAAGACGCAAAAAAATGGACCTCTCATATACTGTTGGTGGGAATTTAAATTAGTACAGCCATTATGGAAAACAGTATGGTGATTTCTCAAAAACTTAATAATAAAATTGTTATGCCATCAGGAATCCCACTAATCAGTGTTTATCAAAAGGAAAGGAAATATATCAAAGGAATACCTGCACCCTTATGTTTGCTGCATTACTATTCACAACAGCAGAAAGAGGGAATCAATCTAAGTGTTCATAAATGGATGAATGCATACAAATATGTGGTATGTTTACACAATGGAATACCATTCAGCCACAGAAAGAATAAAATCAAGGAAGAGAAATAATTTGGTCAAAGGCACATACCTAGTAAGTCTCAGGGCGCAGAGTCAACTAACATCTTGACTTTTAAGACCTTCAATAATCTCTTCTGATTTTGAGCCCAGAAAAACAATAAAAGTCAAAGGCATTTGTGGGAGAATAGAAAAGTCCTATGAGTAAAAGTCTGCGACAGGAACTGCCAAGAAGAAAGGGAATTATAATTAATATATGCCAATTGCTAAGAATTGCTTATTGTTTTTACTAAAAGAAAAAAGTTTTGGTAGACTCATAATATTTATAAACAGCTTTTTCTCCTTAGGGAGCAACAAGAGGAGATAGAATAAAGAAAAAGATTAACTTTCTGTGTTGAAATAGCCAGAGTGGTGGCCATAGAAGCATCTTCTACAACAACAGCAGATGTTGGTATCAGGCCACGGAAATTCAAGGAAGCCCTGACCACGAGGAAGAAGAAAAAAGGGTCTTGAGGCCTTGGATGAGTGAGGGGGCAGAAAGAGGTGAACATCTATGCCCTGAAAAATCTGAATTTACAGAACAGTATGACAAGAAAGTAATCTGCACATCAAAAAACTAAAGGGAATGAAGATCTTTCCACTAGTAGCATTGGGCGGTCTGGAGAGCAGCGTCAGCATGGGGGCACTAGTGTAGTGACCACCCCCTGGATCCTTTGCATGACTCTCCTTCACATCCAGCTGAGGATGCTGCTGAAATTGCTGCTATTTAACTGGTATGCAATGGTATCACTACACATTTTTAAAATATTGAAAAATCTGTATGCTAAATGGCAAATGAGTGCTTCCCTGAGTCAGTGAGCACCTTCTATCACCCTTGTCGTTTCCCCAAGGGCTCTGCTTCAACTCTGCTTCAACACTGCATCTACACTGTGCTCATTCTGAGAGTTTGGTCTCATATTTTGAGTGTCACTCCTGGCAGGCCATCAAAAAAGGGGTTGCTTTGTAAAATATTGTCCCTACAAGGCACATACTTCATCCCCTTTCAAAGTTCACTTTCTAATTTAGCTCTGTATACTTTTTTATTAATTGACTTTTTGTATTTTTATGAGTATATAGTAGGGGTATATATATATACACACCCATACACATATATATGGAGTACATGAGGTATTTCAACACAGGTGTACAATAAGTAATAATCACATAAGGGTAAATGGAGTATTTTTATCAACTTCTCATTGGTGTTAAGTGTCAAAATTCTTCAGACTGTGGTCTCCCCTTGTTTGGGTATACTTAGTCCCAGTGACATTGTTCCTAACCTTTACTCATCCAAAGCTCTGATTTTTCTGTACCTGCTACTAGCAAATTGCACAACTAGTCTAACCTTACATTTGTGAAAATACCAGACATTAGAGCAATAAAAATTTTAGAAAGAGCTATCCACAAATAAAGTATTAGCATGGCATTTCAAATGTATTCAGTCTACACACCTGATGTGGTAACACATCATAAAAGTAATGAACTAATCTACACATGAATAATTTTTAAAGTACCTTATTATCTATGTAAATCAGACTTGAGGCATGGGTAGAGGGCATGAAATGTTTTCGTGGGGTAGACCTTTATGAACCTCAGGGTTTCAAAACTGCTGTGAGTTAATACACTTTGGCTTTTGGCTCTAGATGAGTCAGGGTAATTATTAAATGAAGTCAATTTGGGGGGTCCTCTGTAAATAGAAGCATTCATCGTAGCATCCTGAATATCCACTGCCATCAACTGGGACCTCAGACTCTACAATTTGGAATGCCTCCCACAATGTTCACATTTTTATGATCTTTTCTCACATTAAGTTAGATTTCTGGTTGTAAACTGGGAAGAGAAAAATACTAGGCAATGTTTCTTTAAGCAAAGTTCTGATAGCTTCTCAGTTGTGTCTACACAGTAGATCTCTTTTAATCTGTGTTCATCCCTTTCATAGCGAAAGCTTTCACTGACAGTTGTAATAATGGTGTCTAAATCCTTGCTTACAGGAAAGTCAAAGACACCAAATCAGGTAGACACTTGTATTTTTCCAGCCAAACGGGACTTTCTTTCACCTGTTTTATTAAAACTTAAACACTCCATGAGGGATCTTCTTTCATCTATTAGGGTCCCACTGTAAGACTCAAATGATTGTATAAAAACTTTCCTGAAAAAACCAGAAAAGCTATGAATAATCTGCCCCTCTCTATTTATTATATAGTCACAGTTCCTTGTTAGTTCTCGTATAGCTGATTTTTAAAAGATCGGGGGCAAAGCTCCCACAGAGATTGGAGTCTTCATTTGCTGAATTCACTAGGAATGCAGCATGCAACTCTGTTAAGTCATCTTGCTAAATGACAAATGAAATTCCAGAGGCCAAGATTTGCTGAGAAAAGTACTTCTCCCTCACTTAATCTCCTTAAAACAACCAAATACTCTGTTGTCCTAATTTTTGTAATATTGAGCTTTTTCCTGGATAAACCATCTGGCTTCCTACTTAATCAAGTCAGAAACTTTGAATACAGATTGAATCCTAGCTTTGCTTAATGTTGATGGCTTCCTCCAGTATTTACCTTGGACAAAACGGTAAATTACTTTTGTTCATGTTCAGTATTAAAAATTATCTGCATGCTTTTCTGCTTAGCTTTGACTATTATCTTTTCTATTTTCTCATTAAATAATCAATAGCCACCAAAAATTTTACATTAATGAACTTTTCCATTTTTGTGTGTTTAATATTAAAAAGTAAGATTTTGATTTATCTTTTTCTCTCAAGCAATATGTAATGATAACCTCAGAAAAAATTTTAAAAGTAACCTATCAATTTCTATATTTTTTGAGAATTCTGTTTCACATGCAAACTGTAAATGAGCACTTCCAATTTATTTATTTATTTATTTATTTATTTTTATGTTTTCTTTTTTTAAATTTTATTATTATTATACTTTAAGTTTTAGGGTACATGTGCACAACGATTATAAATTCAATTTATTTAAGAAATCTGCTATCTTTAAGGCTAGCATTAATATGATTATGATCATTTGCTCTTTTGCTTCCAACAAGATTACAGGAAAAAATTTTAGAAGGATGCTCATAAGCAGAGTGACTTTTTTTTTGGCTACAAAATTTTATTTGATAATTTTTTCACTCTGCTTTCTGTATAAAAAGGAAAACCTTGAGAGAAGCATGATAACTTTTCCTGGCCACAGTCTTCACCTTTTCTAGAATTTTGTTTTTCATCTTATACGCATTTGTCAACAATTAATTGAAGTAAATTTACTAAGGGGCTACATCATACATAATCTCCAGTACTAAGTTTTTCTCGTGTAATTAGAAAGCCAACTGCCACTATGAACCAAGAGAACTATCTTTCTAGAGAAACAGTCGTCACACTTCGCTTTTACTTTTCTATGTTTTGGATTTTGATTTATATTAAATTTCATTTACTGTCATTCAATTTTCTTAATTTCTCAAAGATCTCCCCTCTCTCATCACCTCCTTAAGCATATCAGACTTAACACTTTCTCCAATTTAATAAAAATTTTATGGTGACAAAACATAAGATCAACATTCAACAGGGTGACTTGATATCTAGGCATCGTGCAAGAAATTTCTGTGAAAGCATCAGTAATCTAAAACTTGATCCCCCTGATCTTCCCTTTAATTTAATGTTATTTTAATTTAGTATCAAGCTTGAGTGTAATTTGTGGTTCTTTACCTTTAAGTTGGGACAATGACAGTATCTCATATCATTATTTTATTATTTGTCTTCTCAATAAGTTTTTGCCAAAAAAATCATATGTGAGGTTGAAGTTACATTGCAAATACTTCTATACTATTTTATGATTGGCATCTTTACATACAGTGCTATCCCAATGAGGTATCAAATAAAAATACAGTAATGTTTATTTTAGTGAGGAGATGCTTCCTGGCCAACAAAGTGTGAAGGATTTTTAAAAGATGAAGAAAAACAAAAAAAAAAAGAAAGAAGGATAGAATAAAAGAGTCAGCAAGAGAGAAAATGCAAGAGAAAAACTATCAAATGAAATATTAAAATTAATATATTTATAATAAAAATATATTTTCAATATATATTACAAATGTTTTATGATATTTGTAAAAATCCAATTGAATAAATTATTATTCACAAAATATACTCCAGGCTCAAGTAAAGAAATAAATTTTAAGAGTACACAGGTATAGTTACAATATATACTTATGCCAATATTGTATTATCTTTTCTCAAGGAGGCTAGGGCTCCCATTAATGAGAATATGTATGGAATAATTGCATTTCAGCCAAAAGGATATGGTGAAATTCAAAACATATATAAATTATACTTTCATAATTCTGGTATTATGGAGAAGTCACCTCCATTTCCAGGACTATATATATATATATAGTCCAGAATATATATATAATTCATATATATATATATATATATATATATATATATGAATTAAGTCCCTAGAATTTAATGACAGATTACAAAGGCAAACAAAATCAAAAATCAGGATAGGGTAAAACTCTGAGAGCTTTGTTAACCCATAAACTACATCTCTATATGTGGAATTATGTGTGTGTTTAAATACATACATGTAACAACAGAGATTAGGAAATGAAGCCTCTCATACAATTGTGAAGCCAGAGAACATTTTCAGGTCCCGCAGTTGATTCTCTCCCCTTGGCTGAGAACCCAAAGTTATCATCTACCCTGTCTCACAATCTAACCACAAAGTCTAACTGATCTGTATGTATCTAGGAATAAAATAAATGGTAGTGAACTAAAATATTACTTGATTTATAACAGGAAATCCTCTAGGCTCATTGTCAAAAACCTGACTTGTGTAGCTAAAGTGTCAAGTCACTGATCTTAACATCAAATGTTCAGACTTAAGCCAGTTTAAATGCTCATTAATGGAAGCCTGAGCTTCCTTGAGAAAGGATAATACAATATTGACATCAGTATATAATGTAACTGCACCTGAAGTCCTTCCCCAGGAGTAAACATAGCCACTATCTAGGATATCTCTGCATGAGAAATCACCCATTCATTCTGAGAGTTATTAGAAACTGGCTGTATGTTAAATGCAGTTATTGAGGACCCCAAAATGACACTGGGGTCCACCAGTCAAAATGGGTGTTTTGAGTGGTCATATTAAAAATAGCATTTTGGCCCAAATTCAAAGGGCAGTAAATACATACTCTGAATTAGCATAGTGACTGCATGACTATTTCCTGAGTGCAAAACAGATCTATGGCATCCTAACAGATATGGCATCCTACTGGTTCTCTTTTATGTTTATCTGGAGAAATCTAATACGCAATGGTATACCTTCCATTCATGCCTTGCCATAGAGCTATGTCAAATTTACTAGTATCTACTGTCACCTCTTTCAAAGTTATTTGAACACATCCCTTTGTACTTTATTGATCCGTTAAATAATGGCATCATGATAGTGGAACCTAATGAGAAAAACTTGGGAAGAACCTTAGATGACTTTTTTTCTAGTAAGTGGCACATAAAACAAAAATATATGGCCTGCCACCTCTTCCTGGGAATCCAAAGTATAGAACAATTTGGAATATCTGCTTCAAAGTTAAATATAACTCGCTGCACCTATCTCTAAAAAAGAGGCAAAATTCTTTTTGGTATTTGGGTTTAGAAGCAGGACTCAAATACATTTTAATTTGATACTCCCAAATATTTACTGGTTATGCCAGCTTTGAAATCTCAAAAGGTGGTTGGTTTGAACTGCAGTCAGATATAATATGCCATTTGGACCCAATGATAAAACAGTCTCATGATACCCAAATGATCTTCAAAAATAGAATTGTCAAAAGGAATGTGTGATGAGCATCTAAGAATAGAAATCGAGAGAGCTGACCCATAGATCCTAGAGGAAAGCTGAGTCAACTTCTGCAGATAAAAACTTTCTTTTTTAGAAACAGCTCTTGGCTTCTTATTTGACCAAAGACCTGACTATAGGACATCAGGTGACTATCTGGCTTGAGCTGTGCACAATAAACTAATGAACTAAATATTGTCTAATACATTAAGACATAACTTTGTCCTAAATTCACTATGAAGTGGAAGTGGTATATAGGACTGGATCAAGTAGGTCCTGAACATATAAATCGTTTGTATGAGCAGAGAGCTCACACACTTATGATACTTACTCCGGCTTCATTGCCTCTTTCTTAATCCATAGCATGATTTTCAAGGAAGCTCTTTATAACCATTGACAAAAATCATAAATAAAGATTTTGATTTTTTTTTGTTTTAAGCAATATGCTGACACTAATCAGAAATTGACTGATGCAGCATAACATGATAATCCTAAATAAGAGTCCCTGAAGAGCAGTGGTAAAAAAATCTTTTTGAGGAGAATGTTGAACAACTCAATTGGTGCCATATTGGTTTGCCATTGCTAAAAATTCCTGTACCTGTTAGATATTCCTACAAGATTGCTAAATATCATATATAGTGCCTCAGTGATATTATGCAATCAACATTCATTTCTCATGCATTTTCAGGTTCAGCTGTGATAGGCTGGGCTCAAGTTAATTTCAGGTGTCATGCTTATGTGGTGAGATATGCTGTTGGTTTTACATGTCTCTCATCTTCCTCCTGAGATCAGGGAGCTACTTTGATAGTTAGAAATCAAGAGGCTAGAGATCAATCCTTAATGTTTACATTCATCTCAAATCTTTAGCTGCATCCAATATAATAACATGACATTGGCCAAAACAAATCATATGGCTTAGTACAGTCAAGATTTGAAGATCATTCTGGCATTGTAAGGGCACTGCAATGTATCATGGCAAAGGGTAAGAATTCAGAGAGGGGATAACAATTGGGGCTAAATAATGCAATCTATTATATTTACTTATCCTGTACTAACAGTCAAAATTATAGATCTACACTGATTAATAGGCTTGCTAATTTCTTGGCTTGACAAGTAGAAATACGGAAAAAACAGGACTGGAAAATTGATTCCAAGTGTATCTAGGGAAGAGGATTGTGAATGGATATTAAAAAATGAGCTGAAATGTGTGGATATTTGTGTTCTGTATGACTGCTTACCAAAGGACATCAACTCTAGGGTAGGCTCAGAATAATCATACAGACAAAAAGATACATTTTGTGGATGCAATTAGCCTCATTTCTCATCTATCTAGTACAGCCCATTTTTATTCACCTGGGCCTCAAAAAAGCCATGTCTGACATAATTAAGGAAAGAGCAATAAAAAAATCTGTTCTTTAAATACAATCCAATATTTGGGGATTCACAAATCATGCCCTCCTCTTTATTGTCATCATCTATCCTCCTGAGCATAGGGTCAACTGAATTTCTATTTCTTCAATTACAAATAAAAAATGCACACATAAATCTCAATGGCAGTGAACATATATGGAGGTTAGGGCAGAGGGTAACAGTTCAAATAGCCTAAAGGTTTTACTATAATATAATGGATTATTTCTTATAATCTTTAGAAATTTAACAATACGGTGTGATTTAGCTCAGTTTTTCATCATTTTCAGTAGCATCATGACGTAACTACAAAATTGACCTCAATGCCTGTTATAAGTCTTCCACTACTTCCAGAGAAATCTTTTTGTGAGGTGAATGATGTCATGCATAAACCCTGCTTAAAAACTTGAAGCTTTTCTTTATTGCTTTAAGAATATTGTCCAACTTGGCTTGGCAGAAATAAAGCATTTGCATTTAGGCTTATCTTTTTAGCTTATCATTTTCCATATCCCCACCTACATTCAATACCACAGGTTGACTGTTTCTCTTTTTTTACTTGTATTTATTATTCATGCCAAGGCATTTTGTTTGATAGATTCTCCATTCAGATATGTAATGTCCTCTTGCATATAGATCTCTGAGTTAGTTCCTAGTTCCTGTTCCATCAGTATTCCATAGTCAAAAATAATTTGAATATTTTGGGTACAAATTTTAAAAACAAAACAATCTTTGGGCATCCTTTCACTGTTTCAAGCTCTTCTATTCATACCAAAATATGTGGATAGTCTTGACTGTCATGGTAGACTCTCCCCTTCATGCCAGATCACATGCTAATAGCCTCTTTTATATACAGTTCTGCAACTAAATATCTGTAAAAGTCTCCCATTCTGCTTAGCATGCTCATCACTTCTCAGCCTAATCATTGTGTGGCCATAGATTTATTCTTGATTATTGTTTAAATTTCCTGTTCTAGGAAATTTCAGCTTAATCTTGCACTTCTCGTCTAGCTCAGACTACATGGTCTGCCTTTAAATATGCTGTTCCCCTGGCTCCTTGGTTATCTTTTCCTCCCATTCCATTTGGTTAACAACAGTTCACCTTTCAGCACCTCTCTTCTTCCTGACTGCATTTGATTCAGCCGAGTGCCTTTCTGATGCGTTGCCATGTCATCTTATGAAGTCCTCTATCTTAGCAATATCATGTTGTTTTCTAATATTTTCTTTGTCTCTGGCTCTCATTAGAATATAAGCTCCTAGAGGACAAGATGGTGCCTAAATGTTTGTTTTTGGATAAGTTAATATATTTATCAAGCTGTTTATCAATCAGAAATCCATTTAGGCCTCTTTTGATTATTACGGAAACCTCAGAGAGGTTTTTAGAGGTCCAAGACCTAAAATAGCTATAGATATTCTTCTGAACTTGAGGTCTCGGTTTAAAATATCACCATTGAAAAAAACTCCACATGAACACATTCTCTTGCAACTTCAGCAGAAAGAAAAGAAAATATATAAAGTTACATGTGGTCATGTCTAGTATATTAAGATCCAAACACAAAACTGACATGTAGTTTCAGCCTTTTACAAAGTTATGCATTTGGTTTTTTATTTTCAGATATCTTTTACATTTCTCTTATTAGAATTTAGCTCCATGAGAAACCAGAGTTAGTATATAACATGAACCTCGCTCTGTTCTAAGAATTTAAAGTATATTTTACATACCTGTTACAATTGTTCTATAAGGTATGTCCTATAATTATAATTATCTTACAAATGAGACAACAGAGAGACTATTTCAAGTAACTTGGTAGCAAATGGTGGAGCCAGGATTTTGAGTTATTCCACTGGCTCCAGAGTAATTTGCTTAATTATTAAATTACATGTCCTTCCGCCTGGTCATTTGCAAATCAGTAGCCTAATACTGGACCTTTTGGCTGACAAATACCTCCTGGAGATCTATAACATAATTATTTATCAACTATCAATGCTAAAACAAAGTGAAAATCATAAGAAGTTTTCAGAAAATAGAGGATAGAGTAGAGGAGAAATGATGTTTAAGGTCAGATTGCTGACTCAATGCCCAACTCCTAGGCAAATGCCAGTTCCAACTAGATGTGCTTTCTCCTTCCGAAGCTGAATTGGTTCAGCACAGATCTTTAGATTTGGTTCATGAATAAATCGACTTCTGGGGCAGGGTAGTTTGCTTTGGCATCTACTATAAAATCCGTTTATGAACTAGATCAACAGACTATTTTTAGCATGAAGAAGTCAACAGATGAATGAGCAGCATTTTTATTTCTAGAATATTTCAAAGTTTCTCTTAACATATACAGCTTCACCTCCCACAATTCTTCCTTCTGTTCCCTAAAAGCGGGATGCCACATTGCCTATAACACTATTGCTGAATAAACCTACGTTAAATGGAAAAAAAGTTATTGCATAGTGTTAGGTACTATTTAGTTTAAACGGCTTTGCTGGTACATTTTCTGAAAAAAACATACTTTTTTTCAACTGTTTGTTAGTGAATATTTTATTTTATTATTTTATGAGAAAACAGTAATACATGATGATGTTTTATTATCCTTACCTACTTTTAAATAAAGTTACTGTGCTATTATATCACATTGGAATAAAACTATGGATTTAGGTGAATTTGTTATTTTTTAGAAATCCGGCCGGACGCAGTGGCTCAAGCCTGTAATCCCAGCACTTAGGGAGGCCGAGGCGGGCGGATCATGAGGTCAGGAGATCGAGACCATCCTGGCCAAAATGGTGAAACCCTGTCTCTACTAAAAATACAAAAAATTAGCTGGGCGTGGTGGCGCGTCCGCCTGTAGTCCCAGCTACTCAGGAGGCTTAGGCAGGAGAATCGCTTGAACTGGGGAGGCGGAGGTTGCAGTGAGCCGAGATGGCGCGACTGCACTCCAGCCTGGGCGACCCTACTAGACTCCGTCTCAAACAAACAAACAAACAAACAAACAGAAATCCACTTTATCTTTTTTGTTTAAATGGCTTGCACTTTTTGCTTGCTCCTTTTGTGCTACCTTAGACAGTATCATTTTGTCACACAGATGATGGTGTCATTTGCTAAAATGAAAATTGTTTGAATTTAACAGTTTTGAAATGTGGAAGTTTCATAGCAGGAGTAAAATAATTACCTTTAAACATTATTGGACTTTATGGATTATAACTGAGAAAGAGGCTGCTTACCTAATATCCTGGGTTGACTATCGCAAGGTGACCTGAAATGAACACTGAAATTCAGTCTCAGAGTTTGGATTACCTTCATTAATTTTAGAATTTGCAATAATTTTTGTACTATGATGAAAAGTGAGAGACTGCAAAATAAAATGGTTCTGAAGAATTATAAATGATAAAATACAAAGCATTTAATTTCTAAATATTGAGGATCCTCTTATTTGGATTAAAAAAAAAACCTGTAGTATAGTTTGAAGTCAGGAACTGTGATGCCTCCAGCTTTGTTATTTCGCTTAGGATTGTCTTGGCTATACAGGCTCTTTTTTGGTTCCATATGAAATTTAAAGTAGGTTTTTTCTAATTCTGTGAAGAAAGTTAATAGTAGCTTGATGGGGATAGCATTGAATCTATAAATTACTTTGGGCAGTATGACCATTTTCATGATACTGATTCTTCCTAACCATGAGCATGGAATGTGTTTCCATTTGTTTGTGTCCTCTCTTAATTCCTGGAGCAGTGGTTTGTAGTTCTCCTTGAAGAGGTCCTTCACATCGCTTGTAAGTTGTATTCCTAGGTATTTTATTCTCTTTTTAGCAATTGTGAATGGGAGTTCACTCATGATTTGGCTCTCTGTTTGGCTATTATTGGGGTATAGGAATGCTACTGATTTTTGCACACTGATTTTATATCCTGAGACTTTGCTGAAGTTGTTTATCAGCTTAAACAGATTTTGGGCTGAGACGATGGGGCTTTCTTTTTTTTTTTTTTTTGAGATGGAGTCTCACTCTGTCACCCAGGCTGCAGTGCAGTGGCAGAATCTTGGCTCACTGCAAGCTCCGCCTCCCGGGTTCACACCATTCTCCTGCTTCAGTCTCCTGAATAGCTGGGCCTACAGGTGCCCGCCACCACGCCTGGCTAACTTTTTGTATTTTCTTTTTTTAGCTGAAATGGAGTTTCACTGTGTTAGCCAGGATGGTCTCGATTTTCTAACCCTGGGATCCGCCCACCTCGGCCTCCCAAAATGCGGGGATTACAGGCATGAGCCACCTGTGTCCGGCCGATGGGGCTTTCTAAATATACAATTATGTCATCTGCAAACAAAGACAATTTGACTTCCCCTCTTCGTATTTGAATACCCTTTATTTCTTTCTCTTGCCTGATTGCCCTGGCCAGAACTTTCAATACTATGTTGAATAGGAGTGTTGAGAGAGGGCATCCTTGTATTATGCCGGTTTTCAAAGGGAATGCTTACACTTTTTGCCCATTCAGTATGTTATTGGCTGTGTGGTTGTCATAAATAGCTCTTATGATTTTGAGATATGTTCCATCAATACCTAATTTTTTGAGAGTTTTTAGCATGAAGGGATGTTGAGGTATATCGAAGGCCTTTTCTGCATTTATTGAGATAATCATGTGGTTTTTGTCATTGGTTCTGTTTATGTGATGGATTATGTTTACTGATTTGCATATGTTAAACCAGCCTTGCATCCCAGGGATGAAGCTGACTTGATCATGGTGGATAAGCTTTTTGATGTGCTGCTGGATTCAGTTTGCCAGTATTTTATTGAGGATTCTTACATCGATGTCCATCAGGGATATTGGCCTGAAATTTTCTTCTTTTGTTGTGTCTCTGCCAGGTTTTGGTATCAGGATGATGCTGGCCTCATAAAATGAGTTAGGGAGGATTAACTCTTTTTCTATTGTTTGGAATAGTTTCAGAAGGAATGGTACCAGCTTCTCTTTGCACCTCTGGTAGAATTTCGCTGTGAATCCATCTTGTCCTGGGCTTTTTTTGGTTGGTAGGCTATTAAACTATACTATAAGGCTACAGTAACCAAAAGTGCATGGTACTGGTACCAAAACAGATGTATAGACCAGTGGAACAGAACAGAGTCCTCAGAAATAATGCCACACATCTACAACCATCTGATCTTTGACGAACCTGACAAAAACAAGAAATGGGGAAAGGATTCCCTATTTAATAAATGGTGTTGGGAAAACTGGCTAGCCATATGCAGAAACTGTAATTGAACCCCTTCCTTACACTTTATACAAAAATTAACTCAAGATGGATTAAAGACTTAAACATAAGGACTAAAACCATAAAAACCCTAAAAAACCCTAGGGAATACCATTCAGTACATAGGCATGAGCAAAGACTTCATGACTAAAACACCAAAAGCAATAGCAACAGAAGCCAAAATTGACAAATGAGATTTAATTAAACTAAAGAGCTTTGCACAGCAAAAGAAAGTATCATCAGAGTGAATGGGCAACCTACAGAATGAGAGAAAATTTTTGCAATCTATCCTTCTGACAATAGAATAATATCCAGAATCTACAAGGAACTTAAACAAATTTACAAGAAAAAAACAAACAACCCCATCAAAAAGTGGGTGAATCATATGAACAGACACTTCTCAAAAGAAGACATTTATCTGTCCAATAAACATATGAAAAAAAAGCTCTTCATCACTGGTTATTAGAGAAATGCGAATCAAAACCACAATGAGATACCATCTTCTGCCAGTTAGAATGGTGATCATTAAAAAGTCAGGAAACAACAGATGTTGGAGCGGATGTGGAGAAATAGGAACACTTTTACACTGTTGGTGGGAGTGTAAATTAGTTCAACCTTAGTGGAAGACAGTCTGGCGATTCCTCAAGGATCTAGACTAGAAATACCATTTGACCCACCAATCTCATTACTGGGTATATACACAAAGGATTATAAATCATTCTCCTATAAAGACACATACACACGTATGTTTATTGTGGCACTATTCACAATACCAAAGACTTGGAGCCAACCCAAATGTCCACCAATAATAGACTGGATAAAGAAAATGTGATACATATACACCATGGAATACTATGCAGCCATAAAAAAGACTGAGTTCATGTCCTTTGCAGGGACATGGATGAAGCTGGAAAC
Organism: Homo sapiens; assembly: GCF_000001405.40. Classification (NCBI taxonomy): domain Eukaryota; kingdom Metazoa; phylum Chordata; class Mammalia; order Primates; family Hominidae; genus Homo; species Homo sapiens. The sequence goes on along the minus strand of NC_000003.12, from coordinate 80,931,125 downwards.
CATCATTCTCAGCAAACTAACACAGGAACAGAAAACCAAACACTGCATGTTCTCACTCATAAGTGGGACTTGAACTAGGAGAATACATGGACACAGGGAGGGGACCATCACACACCGGGGCCTGTTTGGGGGGTGGGGGGCTACAAGAGGGATAGCATTAGGAGAGATAGCTAATATAGATGGCAGGTTGTTGGGTGCAGCAAACCAACATGGCATGTGTATATATATGTAACAAACCTGCACATTCTGCACATGTATCCCCAAACTGAAAGTATAATAAAAAAATTGAAAGAAAAAATAAAAATAGACTACATTTAGAGCTTTATTTGTAATTGGCACTTGCCTAAACTTTTTTTGTCATTATTGAACTGATGACAAGATACAAAGAAGGATCATAATCTTATGTCATTTTTTTAGCTAATATGGTACATATAAGCAATTTATAGCTTCCCCTAACAATATTTGATATTCACTAAGAGTTTGATTCACTCTGATATCTTGAAATATATTTTTTAATACATAGTGTGAAAGAAATATTTTTCATATTTATTGTGATCTCCTTTAGAAAAAACCCATTGATAGAATTTGAGATGGGATGTTTTAGACCCTAAGTTACATTAAAATTGTATGAATATGGAACTTCCTAGGAAATTAAAGAAATTATACATTTTGTAGATATTAAAATTTTAAGCATTGTATTTTGTCAATTTTTAACTCTATGAAAAATGCTCTTTAGTGATGGCATAAGACTACAGTGACAAAATTCTTCTTGAGGTCAATGGAAACATTCTGGTACTATATAACCCTTAGTGTAAATTATTTATAAAGCCAATAAGAATTTATTTATAGCAGAGGTAATTGATTTTGTAGGGTGGCTTGTTAAAAATCAAGTGTTATCATTTGTAAACCTCAGGCAACATTTCACATTAGCAATGTACCATGCCTTTAGGCTAACAACATGGCCTTTAATAGCACATAATAATACAACTGAGGTTCATGTAGGGTACCTTTTGTCAGGAAAATAGATCCTCTATATGAAGTCTTGATTATTAATTTTCATAATGTCACTTTTGTATACCCCAATTATAAATGACCTTTCATTTAGGAATTAATTATCTTGTGCTTTGGCATTTTTGTGTTTGTTTCTGTTTGCCCCTGCTACTACTAAATGTTGATGGCTGCCTCCTTTGGTGCAATATTCTTGTAAGAATGTGATGAGAACAGTCTAGAACAAAGCTAAATGACACATTAGTATCCCGATGAGAATAAATAGCATATTGGCTAAGGGCTAGGAAACAACAGAATTCTTTGTGATTTTTGCCATTTAGAAGATATGAATTATAGTGAAACAGGGACATCTGCTGTAGAAGAAGGATGCAAAACTTAAAGCAGAAACAAGACTAAGATGACTTAAAATTACACTTAGATTAATTTTTTTTGCATGCCACTTCATGTAAATTTTACCCCTCCAAAATATGAAACTCAACTTAATGTATGTATTTGTAAATACTTGGGAATAAAGTATATAAATACATCAAAAATAAGATGATTGAAGAATGAATAGTCAAATATATCATGAAACAAATGTATCAAAATTAACAATTTTTTTGTAAATGTTAAAGGTGGTAGTTATAGAGTATTACTATATTCACTGAGTGATTCTTTTATCTTTTCTCTATGTTTAGAAGTTTTCATAGTTAGACATTTGGGAGAAAATAAAATGTAAAAAATACACAGCACCAAAATTAACTGTGCCGAGACCAACTTGGGCGGGGAGACCCTAACCCAGTGGCGTTAGAGGAATTAAAGACACACACACAGAAATACAGAGGTGTGAAGTGGGAAATCAGGGGTCTCACAGTCTTCAGAGCTGAGAGCCTTGAACAGAGATTTACCCACGTATCTATTAACAGCAAGCCAGTCATTAGCATTGTTTCTATAGATATCCGATTAACTAAAAGTATCCCTTATGGGAAACGAAGGGATGGGCCAAAATAAAGGGGAGGGTCTGGCTAGTTATCTGCAGCAGGAACATGCCCTTACGACACAGATCGCTCATGCTATTGTTTGTGGTTTAAGAACGCCTTTAAGCGATTTTCTGCCCTGGGTGGGCCAGGTGTTCCTTGCTCTCATTCCAGTAAACCCACAACATTCCAGCGTGGGCGTTATGGCCATCATGAACATGTCACAGTGCTGTAGAGATTTTGTTTATAGCCAGTTTCGGGGCCAGTTTATGGCCAGATTTTGGGGGGCCTATTCCCAACAAACTGCAATTGGGAATACAAATAATTAATCAAGACTACTAATATTAAACATAACCCATATACATAGGAAATGCTTTGAAAAGTTGCCTACAACTTTGCCTTTGTATTGTGAATATAACATTTCTGTCTTAGCTATTGCTATAATGTCTGACATCACTTAGCAAACTAAGTTCATGCTGTTAATTATGTAGCTTTCCACCATTAATATCCCTTGTATTTTTCTTCATTATGAGCTACATTAAACACAAAACATAGGTAAAATGTTTGTACTTTCTTGTCTTTAAGTGAGAAATATACCTAAATTTAAGGATTTGGGGAATTTTTGAATTTACAGTAATATCTTACATTACTGAAGTTGTTCTATATCATGTCAAAGTAAGTTCCTGGAATTACAAACATCTGGAACTTCAAAGAATGGTTTAATAATAATTTTGTGGCAATATGCTAGATTTGAAATATCTTTACTTCAAAGCATGTCTATGTTGAAAAAAGCCCAGCACTTTATTAAAATTTTAATGAAATCCTTAACACTATTATTTTTTCCCTTAAATTTTCATGTTTCAGGAAAGAGACAAGCAAAAGACTGGGCTTTAGACAGTTTTCTCTGAGCGATTAAGAAAGTAGTCTTTGTGCTCAGCACATTTAAAGATAATCATTAAAATTTTAGACCACATCTAGGGAATCCAATATTCAATTACGAAACTTAAGTGCTCATTTTTACTACCATAATCCTTTACAACCCTATAATCTTTGTGAAAGTAAGTGAAAATTAATAATGTTTGCTAATAAGAGGTTCTAAATGTTCAACTGTTTTCTTTGTTAAGTGACATTCTGTTTATGATCACCTGTATTGTTCCATATTGAAAATATCATCTTTAAGCCTGCTTTCCAACAGGAAAATGCATATGTTAGTATAAGCAATAACTACACATTGTACTTTGAAAATATATAAAAATTAATAAAATTTTGGGCACTTATGACCATGAATGAGACCATTTCCTACAAGATATAAAATGGAATGGAATGTAGAGTTTATTTATCTGATAGCTGTTAGATGAATGTGATATAAAGTTAGGCAACTCTAAGTACCTGCTTCAGAACTTTATAGGCATGTACTCATTAAAATGAATTAAACTTCAGTAATTTTCAGATGCTTTATTTAGATAATGAATTCAATATAATTATCTACTGTGTCAAGTTATTCTCAAGATTAAATCATATGGGACTTATAAACAAAGCCATGCTGCATAGTGTTTAAGAACATTGTCTTCAAGCCAGATTGCGGGGTTTAAATATTAGCTCTACCAATTTTCAGCAGTGGGGAATTCACTTCATCTATTTTCCCCACAGTTTCTATAAAATGAGGATTACAATAATAGCACCTACCTGATATAGTTATTTTGTTTTAAATTAATATTTGTGAATACACTTGGATCAGTGCCCGAGAAGTGAGGACTTCATAATTTTATTTGCCACTATAGATAAACACACATATATTATACAGTTATATGAAATATATATAAACTATTGTCTGAAATTTGATGTCACTCCCAAAATTCACATGTTGGAACCTAATACCCAATAGGGTACTACTAAAAAGTGGGGCATTTAGAGAAGTGATTAAATCATGAGGGCACTGCCTTCAGGAATGGAAATAGTGCCTTTAAGAAACAAAGGTTGAAAAGTCCTGTTTGCCCATCCACCATGTGAGAACATAGAAGGCACCATCCATGAGTTACAGGGCCTCACCAGACACCAAACTGTTATGCCTTGATCTTGGACTTCCCAACTTCCAGAAGAACTGTGAACAATAAATTTCTGATTACTTTTGTTCATAAATTACCCAGTCTAAGATCTTTTTTTTTTTTGAGACGGAGTTTTGCTCTTGTCTTGTTGCCCAGGCTGCAGTGCATTGGTGCTATCTCTGCTCACTGCAACCTCTACCTCCTGGGTTCAAGCAACTCTCCTGCCTCAACCTCCAAAATAGCTAGGACTACAGGCATGTGCCACCACATCTGGCTAATTTTGTATTTTAGTAGAGATGGGGTTTCTCCATGTTGGTCAGGCTGGTCTCGAACTCTCGACCTCAGATGATCTACCTGCCTTGGCCTCCCAAGTCTAAGGCATTTTTATAGAGATTGAATGGACTAAGATAATATATAAATTATAGTTCAATGTCTGGCTCATAGTAAGATTACATTTTACAAATTAGTGTTTCTACTTTTTCATAGCAATGATTTTTTTTTTTGAAAGAGGGAATCTGGAGGTCTAAAAATATAAAAGTTAAATTAACTCCTGTGAATGTATTACACAATATCTCTACACTACTTTGTCAAGAATACTGACCCGGCCAGGAGCGGTGGCTCATGCCTATAATCCCTGAGCTCAGGAGCTCGAGACCAGCCTTGGCCAACATGGTGAAACCCCGCCTCTACTAAAAATACGAAAATTAGCTGGGTGTGGTAGCATGTGCCTGTAATCTCAGCTACTCGGCAGGTTGAGTCAGGAGAATCGCTTGAACCAAGGAGGCGGAGTTTGTAGTGAGCCGAGATCATACCACTGCACTCCAGCCTGGTGACAGAGTGAGACTCCGTTTCAAAAAAAACCAAAAAAACTAGCCATTCATGGTGGCATGCACCTGTGATCCTAGCTACTCGGGAGGCTGAGGCAGGAGAATTGCTTGACCCAGCAGGCGGAGGTTGCAGTGAGCCAAGATTGCACCACTGCACTCCAGCCTGGACGACAGAGCAAGACTCCGTCTCAAAAAGAAAAAAAAAGAAAATAAAAAAGAATGCTGACCCTTAGGTAACTAAGACGGCCTGACAGCAATATCTGAATCTCCATTTACAGCTATTGTCTGTTTAAGCATCTCTTTAGCAGGGTATGGTTTTACTTTTTCTCTCCCTTTTCTCTTTCCAAATTAGCTTGCTTTTAAGAAAATCCCTTTCCTATTGGGCGAGATTATTTCTCTGGCAGGAAAATATAATCAGCTCTGTCACTGTTTTTAAAACTTCCTATTTGGTACTAGAATCTAAGAAACTCATGTACAGACTTCATAGTGAAGGTTTGAAAGTAGATTTAATCAGTTCAGGTAGCAATCCTCCCAAAATTTAGGTACGTAAAACTCAGTATTAAATGCAGCTCATCTTTATAGTCATACATATTTTTAAAAGTTATATAGAGCAAAGCAATTTGTTTTCATTTTTAGCTTATTGAAAAATAGTTTACCCTGACTAATCTGCAACATTCTGCTAAGTTGGATAAGAATACACTGGATGAGTTCCTAAGGGGAAAAAGAGAGTGAAATTAAAACTGACTATAGAAGTGATTCATACTAAAAAAATACATTAGAAATTTTAAATACATAAATTGTGCAAAGATCATTTGTTTTACCTCCATTGATAAGTGTTCTTATTTTCAAACATGAAGACATTTTTTTAGCTTGCCATAACACTATGCTCAACTGTACAAAAATATATCAGCTGGGCAACTCTAACAATCTTACAGACTTAACTGTAAAACATTTAGTGAATAAAGTAGCTTGAGATACAGATCTGATATTCACTAACTTATGTTCATAGGAATGGATAAGATCTTAGAGGAACTAAGTGTGAAAAGACAGCTACAGATCTGCTGATTTTGAAGAAAAAGTCTGAGTGAAGCTGTGAAAATACGGATCATAATGAAAGTTAGATAGATAGAGAGGGGCAGGGTGTAGGAATAAGGTCGTGTTGTGCTTTCTGGCTGATTCAAGGTTGGAGAAACTGAAACAACAGAATTCAAGAAAGCTTGCATGGCCATCACAGCCAAGTACTGATTAAATGACCAAAAGGTAAAAACTGAGCAAAATACTACGCATTTGGCCAGAATTTTACGATTCTGGTGAAATGGCATGGTTTAGTGTGGTGAACAAATGATGGGTAGGGGTTCTCCACCTGGCTACAACAAAAATTACCCGGGCTACCTTGACCGGGTCTCTTATGTTCATGGATCTCTGTTGCCTTATTCACAAAATGAGTGAAAATAACCCAACTATCCACCATCTTTTATTAAATTTTTTAATAGAGAGAAGCTAGTGGTATCATTGAGTATTAAATGAATGAAAGATGAAAGGCAAAGAAAGCAATAAAAACAGATGACTTATTAAACAAGTTTTGAGGAACCTAAAAGAGAAACAAGCATATTTAGTTGTAGGTGAACTTTTTTCCCATATATGTAAATAACAAAGCTATTACTCTGAGTTTAACCAGACTATATTATGATAATCATTTCTAAATGTCACTAAAACTACTATAAGCATTTTTAATGAAAGTGATAAGTGCAAAGTTAAGACTACTATACTAAATTGAGATGAATATATTTATTGGCTAGCTGATGTTTTCTTTTGTCCTATGTGTATAATCATTAATTACTACTCCAGGCTAATTGATCCACTATAATATTATAGGGGAATGTCTAAAGTAAACTCTATTTATTTATTTTTTCAACATGGGCATATGAACCCTTGAGTCTAGTTGGGGGGTATTAATCAAATAATTATATACAATTTATAAAAGTAATATTATGGAATGCCAACACAGCAGGAGTTATAATGCTTATTAAATATAAATTGAGATATTGTATATAGTCAGCTTGATAAAGAAAGCTATCCCTAAATAAATCAGGCTTAAAATGAGAGCTTTATGAAGATTAGAAATTCACTGGGTTTTTAATCAGAGTGCTGGGGTCTCTTCCTTTCGGAAAGAACATTTAAAGCTCATGCAAAAGCCTTCTGCCTAGAGTAGGGAGTCTATAGGTACTTGGCTGGAATTTGAAAACTCCATTAAATATTATTCTTAAAAGACCTAAACATACTGAAAATTTTATTATGTTTGCATGGATACTAAACTAACATCGGAGGGATACATATTTTCCGTCAATTTTTCTAAAACCCAGTGGAATTCCATTCCACAGAGAAGCAGGATTTTAGAGGGATTTTGGAAAACTGATCCTAATTTAGTGTGTTATAATAAAAGTTGACAAATTACTAAAGTTATTTTGTAAAAGATATTCCATGCAGTGAGGGTGGAGGAAGGAAACCTGTTCTACCAGATATTTGAGGAATATTGCAAAGGTATAGTTATTAAACTGTGCAGTATTGATGCAGGGACAGTGATCCTACAGGAGCACATGGCAGGGGAAAGCACTGCAACGTCACATGACTCCTGGCATGAATATGTAATTCTATTACAGGTAGGAGTTATGGTTGGGGACTATAATCCAACATTTCACATTGATGGTATTTTTACTCTACCATCCTCAAGCCAACATAAATTCACAGGGAAACATATGTAGGATGGTCTGTCATAACATTGTGTCATCATTTGATTCTTCTCAAAGTCGGTGACAAGGACTTGAGTGAAGCTAGCTTACCTGGAAAGCGATCTAAAAAAATTTGGAGAAAAGGAGTGGGAACAGTGTGACAGAGAAAAAGGAAAAAGAAGTAAAATACATTTTATGGAGACAGTTATCTATGTGGACAACTAGAGCTGAATTATCTTACTGCCCATCTGAGGAAGCATGGAAATGGTACTTCTGAATTGTTCTCTCCAGGATGGGCTTGGGTCATTTATTCAGTCCTACACTTGAGGGTAATTCTTAAGTGTTAACTCCCCACATTTTTTGATTGAGCAAGCTTCTTCTGCATTTTTTGAGGCAGAAAACAAGAAAATTTTTATTTCTTTCTAGAAATGGGATGCTCCTGCATGCACGGGAGCTTCGAATCATAGATGGCCCTACAGAACAAAAAGCTTTGGCAACACATTGCATATGATAGTAATGTATAGCATAGATATTAATTTCCTATCCACAATAGAATATAAAAACAAAACATGTTATATAGATCCAATCAAATTTTCAGCAACTATAAAGAGAACAAACACTATATATAAAACTCTTGGATGAAATATATTGAATTAAAAACGACAAAAAACATCAACATGTTTGAAGCATTTATATAATTAAACTCTGAATAGTAGCATATATATTTGTGTATACATATATATCACGTAGACATGTATGTATACATCAATGAATCCAGGAGAGTGAGTGTCAATGTCAGGAAGAGGAAGAAAATTTGAGCAAGGGTTTAAGACCAAAGCATTAGAACAACAACAATGAACAAGATGATAACAATAACGTCGAATGCATGGAGTATGAGTAACTCAGTTCTATGGATCTGAAATTCCTGCACTTGAGATTTCTTGAGTTAGATAGATAGATAGCTGGATAGATACATATAGATAGACAGATAGTGTAGGTGTAGGTAGAGATGGAAATCTGTCAGTACCTAGCCTACATCTACATTTCTATGTCTACCTCTGTCATCATCTATTCACCATCCATCTATTTATGTATCTTCTTGCTCAGCCACTTACATTTCTACCACAGACTGTTTATTTTTTCCTGAAATAGTAAGATGATTAAGAATCAGATGAAACTATGTAGTAAATAAGAAGGAAATCTACTACTTAGAAAAATACGTTCTCTTTCCAAATTTTCTAAATTAATACAAAACAAAAACAGTTAATAAGTTGAGAGAGAGCTCTGCAGATCTACCCAGTTTTCAGAATAGAGGCAATGGTTTCTGAATTGAAACGAAATTCTCTTCTAAAGCATGTATATATCTCAACACCATGTGTAGATGTCAGTACTAATATCACTATCAAAGCTAGAGTTGCAATAATTTAAAATAATATTTTAAAGGTAATTTATGTTGTTAGAAAATATTTGCAAAGGCTCTTTAAGTATTTAGTATTCATTAGATAATTTTCACGCTGATGCAAGAGGTGGGCTCCCATAGCCTTGGGTCGCTCTGCTCCTGAGGCTTTGCAGGGTAAAGCTTCCCTCCTGGCTGCTTTCATGGGCTGGTATTGAGTGCCTGCGGCTTTTCCAGGTGCAGGGTGCAAGCCACCCATGGATTTACTATTCTGGAATTTGGGGGACAGTGGCCCTCTTCTCCCAGCTCCATCAAGCAGTGCCTCAGTAGAGAGACTTAGTGTGGGGGCTCCAATCCCACATTTCCTCTTCATACTGTCCTCGCAGAGGTTTTCCTTGAGGGTTCCGCCCCCCGTAGCAAAATTCTGCCTGGACACCCAGGCATTTCCATATATCCTCTGATATCTAGGTAGATGTTCCTATAACTCAATTCTTGACTTGTGCACCTACAGGCTTAGCACCATGTGGAAGCAACAAAGTCCTGGGGCTTGCACCCTCTGAAGTAATGGCCCAAGCTATACCTTGGCCCCTCTTAGCCATAGCTGGAGCTGAAGCAGCTGGGATGCAGGACACCATGTCCCAAGGCTGCACAGAGCAGGGGTCCCTGAACCTGGTCCATGAAACCATTTCTCCCTCCTAGACCTGTGGATTTATGATGGGAGGGGCTGCTGTGAAGGTATCTGATATTCCCTGGAGACATTTTCCCTAATGTCTTGGTGATTAACATTTGGCTCTTTGTTACTTATGTAAATTTCTGCAGCAGGTTTGAATTTCTCCCCAGAAAAGAGGTTTTTGTTTTGTATCACATTGCCAGGCTGCAAACTTTCCAAACTTTTATGCTCTGCTTCCTCTTGAATGCTTTGCTGCTTAGAAATTTCTTCCACCAGATACCTTAAATCATTTATCTCTAGTTCGAAGTTCCACAGATCTCTAGGGCAAGGTCAAAATGCCACTAGACTCTTTCCTAGAGCATAGGAACAGTCACCTTTATTCCATTTTCCAAGAAGTTCCTCATCTCCATCTGAGACCACCTCAGCCTGGACATCATTCTTAATATCACTATCAGCATTTTGCTCAAAGCCTTTCAACAAATCTCTAGGAAGTTTCAAACTTTCCCACCTCTTTCTGTCTTCTTCTGAACCCTCCAAACTGTTCCAACCTCTGCCTGTTACCAGTTCCAATGTCGCTTCCACATTTTCAGGCATCTTTACAGCAGTGCCGCACTACCTTGATACCAACTTACTGTATTAGTCCATTCTCATGCTGCTATGAAGAAATATCTGAGACTGGGCAATTTATAAAGGAAAGAGGTTTAACTGACTCACAGTTCTGCATGGCTGGGGAGACCTCAAGAAACTTACAATCATGATCTCATGAGACTCACTTATTATCATGAGAACAGCATGGGGGAAACTTCCCCATGAATCAATTACCTCCACGTGGTCCTGCCTTGAACACGTGGGGATTATTACAATTCAAGATGAGATTTGGATGGGGACACAGAGCCAAAGCATATTGCCATGTTTCTGAGAATCAAACAGTAATGAATAAATAAAAGTTATTACATATATGAAATAAATGTATAAGACATAGGGTCATTATCTTTATGCCTATAGAAAATTTTAAAAGAATTTGAGCTAGAACTACTTTATAAAATAATCAAGGAGACTCACAAAGACGTGAAAATATAAAACCCACTGAAATATTTTAGAATACATGTACTCATAGATATCTTAATAATTTCAATATTACCCAAGAGACCTGAGACTAAGAAATACATCATACAATTTACTTTTACTAAAGGGAACACTTAAAACCAATATTTGGAAGAAAGAACATAATTATGAAAATCTATATGCTATTAAATGTGTTTCCTTTCCTTGACATGACAGAATATCCACTTTAAATCTTTTAATACTGCTTGTATTTGCATGAAATAACTCTCCAGGGATACACAAGAAACTGGAAACTGTAGTTATCTCTAAAGAGGAAATCTGAGAGGCATGTGGTGATGGAGGAAAAAAGACTTACATCTGTGCCTCTGTTTTTATTATTCAAAATATTCACTGTGTTCATTATCTATCCAAAAATCAGTAATATAATTTAGGCCAAAATATTAAACAAAGCAAACTTCTAAAATTTCATAACTAGTACAGAGAAAGCAATTATGTAAGCCTTCATGTTATTGACATATGATATTCTTTCTTGGTATGAAGGATATCTACTAACTTCTCAAGGAATATTCTTTTAAATTTTTGTGTTTAAATCTCTGAAACTGTCAAGACTAGGAGCATTAAACACATGTCAGTTCAACTGAAATGCATTTTCTTACAACTTTATAATATTTTATTGTAAAAACATTATTGAATTTTTTAATGTAAAAGTAACATATTGCTCACAAATAAATACTGTATGTCCCTCTGAATCTGATCTTAAATGCACACTATGACGTGTTCCCTGTGCAAAGTGAAATGCAATTTGCAAGGGCCAAGAGGCAAAATTCAATTTCTCTTATTTAATAAACAGCTAAGATATTACACTGGTAACTGTTTGTACTGCTTTAGTATAGCAAGAGCATGAAGGAAGTTTTGTTTTGGTCTCTGTTTTTACTCTTCCTCAAGTCTTTTTAGTTGGATAATATAAAATACATTACAAAAGAAATACTTTCCTGTGACATTTATAATTTTCAACCCATTTAAAAAATGTTAAGACTACAAGTTTCAAATTCTAAGGTTTATAATTAATTAAAGGAGAGAGCATTAAATGATAATAAAGAGTACTTAGTCAAATGTAACCATTTACTAATTTAGTGACCATGAATACATTACTCCATATCTCTGGGTCTCAGTTTTCACATCCTACTATAACGCCTAGGAGGACTAAATCAGATACAATGTGTCACATGTTTAGAAGAATACCTGGCACATAATAAGCACCTCTTATGTGTAAGGTAGTGTCACCATCATTATATTTTTAAAAAAGGAAAAAATAAAGTAAAAACAGCTATGCAGGTGA